>NT_187651.1:0-300000 GCF_000001405.40 Homo sapiens | reverse complement strand
TTATTTTTTTTTTTTTGAGATGGAGTTTTGCTCTTGTTGCCCAGGCTGGAGTGCAATGAGGTGATCTCGGCTCACCGCAACCTCCACCTCCCAGGTTCAAGCAATTCTCCTGCCTCAGCCTCCTGAGTAGCTGGGATTACAGGCATGCACCACCACGCCCGCCTAATTTTGTATTTTTTTTAGTAGAGACGGGGTTTCTCCATGTTGAGGCTAGTCTCTAACTCCCGACCTCAGGTGATCCGCCTGCCTCGGCCTCCCAAAGTGCTGGGATTACAGGTGTGAGCCACCGTGCCCGGCCTATACCTTATTTTCATCAAATAAAATATATGACCTTAAACTACCTGTGTCATACTTATTAAAATGAGACCATTAAACACCAGTATTCACTAAATAAAAAAAAAATTTAAAGTCAAAAATTAATACTAAAACATTTGTTTTTCTTGTCAGATCTAGCCCAAATGTCCTCTGTCTCTCTTCTGGCTTCAATGCTTTCTATCTTTCCCTACATGTATACTAGCTTGCAGTGGCTTCCCACTTCATTACTAATCTACACCTAACAGACCGTAAGATGTATTGAAAGATTTGTTACTAATGAGTATCAAAGTTATAACCTATTTTATGTTATTTCAACAACATTATTCTTAGTCATTTGCATTCTGCTTAGATTTCTAAGACAAAAAGATAGAGGTTAAAAGCTAGACTCAGAGCCTATCTCAACCACGTGGCTTCAGTAGAACAAAGGTTAAGAATTGTTAGCTTAAGGCAATGACGTATTAAAAACACTTAAGGCCAGGTGCAGTGGCTCACGCCTGTAATCCCAGCACTTTGGGAGGCCTAGGCAGGCAGATCACGAGGTCAGGAGATCGAGACCATCCTGGCTAACACGGTGAAACCCCATCTCTACTAAAAATACAAAAAATTAGCCGTGCATGGTGGCACACGCCTGTAGTCCCAGCTACTTGTCGGGCTGAGGCAGGAGAATGGTGTGAACCCGGGAGGCAGAGCTTGCAGTAAGCCAAGATCATGCCACTGCACTCCAGCTTAGGAGACAGAGCAAGACTGTCTCAAAAACAAAAACAAAACAAAAAAAACCCAAAAAACCAAAAAAACAAAAAGAACACAAACGAATGTTCATAGCAACATTATTCATTATAGCCCAAAAATAAAAACAACCTAAATGTCCATGAACTGATGAATGGATAAAATGTGATATAACCAAACAACAGAATATTCAGCAATAAGAAGGAATGCAGTACTGGTGCATTCTACAGCATGGATGAATCTTGAAAATAGCATGCTAAGTGAAAGAAGCCAGACACAAAAGACCACATATCGTATAATTCCGTTTATATATAATATCTAAAATAGACAAATTCATAGAGACAGAAAGTGTACTGACTGCCTAGGGCTGGGGAAAATGAAGGTAACAGGGTTTCTTTTTGGGGTGATGAAAATGTTCTTAAATTGTAGTGATGGTTGCATAACTGAAAACCAAAACCACTGACTTGTATACTTTCTTTTTTATTTTATTTTTTGAGACAGAGTCTCGCTCTGTCGCCCAGGCTGGAGTGCACTGGCACAATCTCGGCTCACTGCAAGCTCCACCTCCTGGGTTCACGCCACTCTCCTGCCTCAGCCTCCCGAGCAGCTGGGACAAAAGGTGCCCGCCAACATGCCCGGCTAATTTGTTTTTGTACTTTTAGTAGAGACGGGGTTTCACCATGTTAGCCAGGATGGTCTCGATCTCCTGACCTCGTGATCCACCTGCCCTGGCCTCCCAAAGTGCTGGGATTACAGGCGTGAGCCATTGTGCCCAGCCAACTTGTATACTTTCAAAGGTAAACTGCACACCATGTGAATTATTTCTCAAGAAAGTTATTTAGAACATAAATTATACCAATACTTTATATATACATTATGTATTTTTTTCAAATATTTCATAATTTAAAAAACACAAAAGCCTACAGTGTTACAGTCAGATAACTGATCTCAAAACAAATTACAAGCTGTTGATTTATTACTTTTTGGTCATTAAAATGAGGAATTCATGATACATACAATATACCAAGGTTATACTACAACAACTGAAGCGTGACTTTTTTTTCCCTCCGCAAATTCTCACTCTGTTGGCCAGGCTAGAGTGCAGCGGTGTGATCTTGGCTCACTGCAACCTCTGCCTCCCAGGTTCAAGTGATTCTCCTGCCTCAACCTCTCAAGTAGCTGGGATTACAACTGCCCGCCACTGGGCTAAGTTTTGTGTATTTAGTAGAAATGGAGTAGTCACCATGTTGGCCAGGCTGGTCCTGAACTCCTAACCTCAAGTGATCCACCTGCCTCTACCTCCCAAAGTACTGGGATTATAGGTGTGAGCCACCGTGCCAGGCCTTTTTCTTTTTTTGAGACGGAATCTCACTCTGTCACCAAGGGTGGAGTGCAGTGGCACAATCTCAACTCACTGCAACCTCTGCCTCCCAGATTAAAGCAATTTTCCTGCCACAGCCTCCCAAGTAGCTCGGATTACAGGCATGTGCCACCATGCCTGGCTAAATTTTTTTTGGTATTTTTAGTAGAGACAAGGTTTCATCATGTTGGCCAGGCTGGTCTCAAACTCCTGACCTCAAGTGATCTGCCTGCCTCGGCCTCACAAACTGTTGGGATTACAGTTGTAAGCCACCATGTCTGGCCTTAACTTTTAAATAAGAATATTAATGGGGGCACACACAGATGATACATTTAAAAACATACACCTTTAAGTCAGTTGTTTCTTCTATATTAATTTACTAAAAATACAAGTGCCTACAATATCACATCATAATTTTAGCAGGGCACAAGAGCTTACTTTTAAAAATAATTTTAGGCCGGGCGCGGTGGCTCACGCTTGTAATCCCAGCACTTTGGGAGGCCGAGGCGGGTGGATCACGAGGTCAGGAGATCGAGACCACGGTGAAACCCCGTCTCTACTAAAAATAAAAAAAAATTAGCCGGGCGTGGTGGCGGGCGCCTGTAGTCCCAGCTACTCGGAGAGGCTGAGGCAGGAGAATGGCGTGAACCCGGGAGGCGGAGCTTGCAGTGAGCCGAGACTGCGCCACTGTACTCCAGCCTGGGTGACAGAGCGAGACTCCGTCTCAAAAAAAAAAAAAAAATAAAATAAAATAAAATAATTTTAAATGTTCTGACTAAAATACAATAGAACATGTCCGTAGGAGACTAACGTATAAAGTGACAAGTTTGAAGCCATACTCCCCAAGGTTCAATGTGGTACACATTACCCCAGATCTTTGTGCATTAAAAAAATTTCATTTCTCTTGGAAGGCCGAGGCGGGTGGATCACGGGGTCAGGAGATTGAGACCATCCTGGCTAACACAGTGAAACCCTGTCTTTACAAAAAAATACAAAAAATTAGACAGGCGTGGTGGCAGGCACCTGTAGTCCCAGCTACCTCTGAGGCTGAGGCAGGAGAATGGCGTGAATCCAGGAGGCAGAGCTTGCTGTGAGCCAAGATCACGCCATTGCACTCCAGCCTGGGCAACAGAGCAAGACTCCGTCTCAAAAAAAAAAAAAAAAAAAAAGAATTTCATTTTTCATTTATGAAAAATTATCCCATCTTTTCCATTCCCTACAATCAATTTCAAATCAGAGATTAAAACATTATTTAGAAAAAGTATAATTTCAATTCAAAAGTGTATAATCAAAATAATCTAACAATAGCATGAAAGCTTTTTAAAATTAACTAAAATTATACTTAGGGACAATGCAAGAGTAATTTAAGCCTCAGACAGTTGTATTTTTTTATTTTTATTTTTTAGTAATATAAAGAGAGAAGCAAGTAGTATTTTATAAATTTACAAAACAAAGTCACATAACTACAAAAAAATTGTCAGGAAAAGATGCTGAGTGATTACTTACCATATAATAGCCAGTATGATAGCCACTCATGTACCATGAAATTAACATACTTCCCAAAGCATCAGCATCATCAAGAGAATCTGGACATATGGGAGGTGGTGGGGGAATTATCTGGAGACAGAAAAAGATATTGTTTATATCCAGTAAACAAAAAAGTAAAGTCTGGAGATTTATATTATATAGTGAATGCTGGAAATTAATTGTATTTTTGCTTATATAATCTCCTACTTAAATTTCTTTTTTTTCCCCTAAACAAAGACGAGGTCTTGCTATGTTGCCCAGACTGGTCTCAAACTCCTGAGCTCAAGTGATCCTCCTGCCTCAGCCTTCTAAAATGCCGGGATTACAGGCATGAGCCACTGTACCTGGCCTTAAATTTCTTAACATAGCTAGCATTTGGAGAAAACCAACCAATAACAACAAAAGACCAACAAAATTAAATTTAACGAGGACGAAAAGACAGCAAGTGACATAAAAAGTTTAAACATTTTGATTTAGACTATGTATCTGTTCCACTATGAAGCTATGAGTAAAAAAAAAAAATCAAGCATAAATACTTTCATGCTTTTCCTTAATACACACACACACACACACACACACACAGCTCACATAGCATTTCGAGGGCGATTTTAAGTAAATGTCTTGGGTAGAACACCTGTTCTAACCCCATCCCAATACACAGTATGCCAAAAAGTATCTTTTTATCTATTGTTAATACCTAAAAATCTACCATTAGAAATCCAGTTTACAGCTGGGTGCGGCAGCTCACGCCTGTAATCCCAGCGCTTTGGGAGGCCAAGGCGGGTGGATCACCTGAGGTCAGGAGTTCAAGATCAGTCTGGCCAACATGGTGAAACCCCATCTCTACTAATAAAACAAAAATTAGCCGGGTGTGGTGGCAGTCGCCTGTAATCCCAGCTACTTGGGAGGCCGAGGCAGAATTGCTTGAACCCAGGAGGCGGAGGTTGCTGTGAGCTGAGATCACACCACTGCACTCCAGCCTGGGGTACAAGGGCAAAACTCTGCCTCCAAAACAAAAAAAAAAAAAGAGAGAGAAAGAAAAAGAAATCCAGTTTACATCAGAAGCTAACATCCAACTATACCTAGAAGGGCAAACACTAATTCCTTATATAAGGTATAATTAAATCCCTTCTAACAGGAACTACCTCCTTATGGCATAGACACCAACTTCTGCCAGGAAAGAAGGCAACCTAGAGCTTAGACTTGGGACTACAAGAGCACTGCATCTGGGTAACAGAAAGGCATTAAAAACAAACAAAACCCAGAGGTTTAGTTCAAATTTCTACCCATTAGAATCTGGCCCAAGGGATGTTCTACAATGACATTTTACAATCCTCTATTCTGCTAATTATCAAATTGTATGTGAAAGCAAAATCTAACCTATACTCTTTTTTACTTACTGGTGGTCCAGAAGGAAATGGAGGCAGCCAGCATGATAGTAAGTGGGGTGGTGGTGGTGGCGGTGGCGGTGGTGGGCCATTGAATTTTAGACCTGGCTATAAGGAATATTTCAAAGGAAAATTAACTTACCAATTTCAATATGATAGGAATAAAAAGGACTCAAAACCAAAAGGATAAAAATAATTACCCAGAATATTTGTTTTATACATATCAAAAAGATTAAGTGAAATTTCATGTACCAAATCCTGAAGTCAAACAGACTCATAAGTCAAATGACAACCTCTGGATTTTTCTCATTTCCTTTCTATGTAGACATTAAGGAAGTAAAACAAAATAAGAGTGGTGATTACCTAATAAATCAGAGACAGTCTATTTAGCAAAATTATTTCAATCATAAAAGACTATATCCCAAATTTCATTAACTAAATTGTATATTTTTATGAAAGCCTGTTTAGCTATACATGCCAACTTAGAGGACATATTGTGAAAACTAGCAAATCTCTCCTTATAAAAATCAGCCCCCTGAGACCAATGAAGCATGATGTATATATCCTAAGAGGGTACATCATTTTAGATTCAAGAAACTGTAATATAATGTAAGCCTCAATAAGAACATTATCACAGAAAATCTTAAAACTTTTGGTGAGTCATGCTTGTTTTTTGAAAATGACTGCCTAGGCTAGGCGCCTGTAATCCTAGCACTTTGGAAGGCCAAGGTGGGGAGATCACTTGAGGTCAGGAGTTCAAGACCAGCCTGGCCAACATGGTGAAACCCCATCTCTACTAAAAATACAAAATAAGCCGGGTGTGGTGGCGGGTGCCTGTAATCTCAGCTACTTGGGAGGCTGAAGCAGGAGAATCACTTGAACCCAGGAGGTGGAAGTTGCAGTGAGCTGAAATGGTGCCACTGCACTCCAGCCTGAGCGACAGAGCAAGACTCCATCTCGAAAAAAAAAAAAAATTGCCTAAATACCATTCCCTCCATGGAAGAAATCACCGCTTTACACAAAAGAACTAGAAAGGGACAAGCCTTAAGGTTCCATGACATAATCTAACCTATAATAAAAATCTTTTTAGAGTTGATTTCTGTTACTTATAACCAAAAGGACCATAAATGAAAACAATATTTACATTTGAACTCTACAAAACAATCTGAGAGCGCCTCAGGATTTTATCTATATTAGATGTAAATAATGTGTTCTTATTTTACATATCTTATACAGGTGACATGGGAAACAACAGCATATCATCCAGCTAATGATAAATTATTATTACACTTTTTTTTGTTTTGTTTTGTTTTTTTGTTTGAGATGGAGTCTCATTCTGTCGCCCAGGTTGGAGTGCAGTGGCACGATCTTGGCTCACTGCAAGCTCTGCCTCCGGGGTTCACACCATCCTCCTGCCTCAGCCTCCCGAGTAGCTGGGACTACAGGTGCCCGCCATCACGCCCGGCAAATTTTTTTGTATTTTCAGTAGAGATGGGGTTTCACCGTGTTAGCCAGGATGGTCTCGATCTCCTGACCTTGTGATCCGCCCACCTTGGCCTCCCAAAGTGCTGGGATTACAGGCGTGAGCTACCGCGTCCGGCGCATTATTATACTTTCTAACTTAAGTAAGTGTGCTAATTATTAGTCTAATACCTAATACTCCACAAAAGTTAACTGGATAAATCTTTCATATAAAGTATTTTGTTGCATCCACTGCAGTGTCTAACATTTTTTTAAAAAATTAACTATTTTGCATCATTATCTTATTTCCTTTTCAAAAAATTCTTGTGTATTTAAGCTACAAAAGTTTCATGGGAGAGCTACAAATTAGTTAACAGAGAGGTTAAATGTCCCGACATTAACTATTTTCTGGAAAACTTTCATAGAAGGTTTACCTTTCCTGGTCCCAGTCTTGGCCCTGGCATGGGGGGTGGTGGAGGGAGAAAAGAGTTCCATGGAGCAGATTTGGGCTTGATGTTATCTGATTTATTTCCAGGAGACCTGGAGTTCTCACTTTCATCTGTTGAAACTTGGCTTTCATTTTCATTCTTTAAAAAGAAAAAATATGCAGGTTTTTGTTATAAGGGTGTGATTAAGAAAAAATTAATGCCTCGGTGGATCAAACTGACAACTGTGTATACTGTTTAACAGTTTCTCATCTAGTCTCTGCTTCCAGAAATTGAATTTTTTTTTTTTTGTATCCTTACCTCTTGAGCATTCTGTTCTATATTATTAGCTACTTCACAGATTGGGGAAAGTAGATCGGACAGATTTTGCTCCTCTCTATTTCCATATCCAGTGTAAACCACAACACAGGTTTCTCTCTTAAAATCAATTGAAGCAATGGTAGCTGGGTAAATGCAACCGTCTTCTGACCAAATGGCAGAACATTTGTCCCCAACTTTCCACTACAAAAGAAATCAAAGATATATACATGCACACATTTCTTTTGAAGAGGGCAAACTATCATCTCGTTTTGATCAGTGGGGAGGTGAAGGATAGAGGGTAGAGATTTGGAAGGCAAAATGATGTAATGAGAAAGGCTTGGGGTCTAAATACATAAATCTGAATTCCAACTCTCTTACATTTATAATCATGGACAAGTTTCTGAATCTCTTTGAGTCTTAGTTTCCCCATCTTATTAGATGGCTATAATATAAACTACCTCCCATATTTGTTGTGAATAGCGGGAGGGAGATAAAATGCGTATGGTGCCCAGCACTCTGGACTGGCCTAGAGCAAGTGCTCATCAACTGTTAGCTCTCTTCCCCCTTGGTAATGATGAAACTAAAGTTGGCTCAAAAGACACCAAAATATTCAGCTTTCAGGACTACTGCTTTTAACTAGCAGAAATAATCTACCTAGACTTCTGGGTTCCTTGGAATTAACAGTTTTAGAGTTTTTAAAGAAAAAGGGGAAAAAAAAATCTATCTCTCAGCTTAAGATGTAAAACACTGCCAATTCAGCTTACGGCTCTTGGGTACTCCTTCCAAACGGCACCTTCTCCCTGCCTTCCATTCACAAATGGAACACATGTCCTGATTTTAGCATTTATCATTCCCATCTAATTCTTTATACTTTCATGACTAATATGCATGTTCCTAAATAACAGAAAATTTAATAGTTGTTTTTGAAGTTGTATAAGTATATGTCAATAGAAACACTGTACTAATCACTTAAGTTAAAGACATTTTACACTATTAAATAAGGACTAATGAGACATCCTTTGAAGTTAAATCTCAACATTTTAAAATAACCTGTTGTAAGGAAGCTGCAGTATTCTTCTTTTGGCTTTTATTCTTCTTAGCAGGTTTTCTTTTAGGTGTGGTTTTTGGTTTACCCGAAGTTTCACAAATGTCACCATTCTTTAGAGCATGCTACGAAAATAGGAATAAAAATGTACATGTTACAGGGTGGTGCACAGAATAAAAGTCACGACATAACCCAGTTACTACTATAAGCTAGTCTCAAGGCTCCGTCACCTCAGAAAGCACCTATTTTCTCTTTTGACCACCCCCTGCACTATAAAAACTGCTCTTAAAGGCATCATACACCTGACATCAGCTCTAAAGACCCTTTTAATCAAATCTCCTTGCTCTCAACCTCTCTGTAACATTAGACCCTGTTAATTATCTTTCTTCCTGATATTCATGGCCCTTTGGATGTCATAGCAATGTAGGGCCCCAACGGTTTCATTACTTCTGATCAAGCCTTAGATTTAGGCATTCCCAATAAGAGCTGGCCATCCTTCTTTACTTGCTTACGGCCATTATTTTATTTATTTTATTTTTTTACACAGAGTCTCACTCTGTCACCGGGCTGGAGTGCAGTCACACTGATCTCAGCTCACTGCAACCTCCACCTCCCAGGTTCAAGCGATTCTCCTGTCTCAGCCTCCCGAGTAGCTGGGATTACAGGCGTGCACCACTGTGCACAGCTAATTTTTGTATTTTTAATAAAGACGGGGTTTCACCATGTGGGCCAGGCTGGTCTTGAACTCCTGACCTCGTGATTTGCTCGCCTCAGCCTCCCAAAGTACTGGGATTACAGGCGTGAGCCACCGCGCCCGGCCAAGGCCATCTATTCTTATTACTTTAGTTGCAACTGTCTGCAAACACACTTCTGAAGCTATTAATCCAGCTGTGACTTTTCTCAATCTAACATTTCCAATGATCAATTTCACATCTTAATTCATACCTCAAACTCAACCTCAACTTAATTCATATTCAACCTCAACTTAATTCAAATTCAATCTCAACTTAATTCATACTCAAACTCACTACTAAAACTATCGTTTTCCCAAATCAGTTCTTTTCCTCCTTTACTCAGATTACTTCTCCCTGCAATATCACCAACCCATCCCACATCGAGCCCCATTTCAATCTCTATTTTATAGAATTCTCTTGGTAATTCTTTAGTCGACTTCTAGTTTCAGTGTATACTGGAAAGCACATTTAAAAATCTAGGCCGGGTGCAGTGGTTCATGCTTGTAATCCCAGCACTTTGGAAGGTCAAGGCGGAGGGATCTTTTGAGCTCAGGAGTTCCAGGCCAGCGTGGGCAACAGGGTGAGACTGCATCTCTACAAAGAATACAAAAATGAGCTGGGTGTGGTGGCACACACCTGTGGTCCCAACTACTCAGGAAGCTGAGGTAGGAGGATTGTTTGAGCTCATGAGTTGAAGGCTCCAATGAGGCATGATCACGCCACTACACTCCAGCCTGGGTGACAGGGCAAGACCCCATCTCAAAAAAAAAAAAAAATCTAGAAATCAGTTACAAAGGTGACATAGAGGTCTGATCTTTAGCTCATGTTACAAGAGTAACTATGAGAAAGACATGAAATCTGTATGCTTGGTGCTCTTTATACACTGTATGAGTATATGCTCTGTTTGCTCAAGGTAGTCTGGACTATTGTTTGCTCAAGGTAGTCTGGACTATTGATGACCCATATTTAGTGCTCAGTAAGACTAAACATCTCAGAGAATGGAGAAGGTGATGATGTTGGCCAACTGTGTAAGTGTCCTGTTTGAGACACAGAACCATACTACATTTCCTAAAAGAACTGTATATTCCTACCCAATAGGAACACTTGAATTGATACCCAACTTACAGGATTTGGGATGATTAGAGTAATTTAATATATGAAACGCACACAGAGCACTGTCAGCATGCTACAAATATTAATTGCTGTACTAATGCTATTTATCTTCATCATTATTTTACTACATGCTTGTTAAATGTTTAAAATTATAATTCAGATTGTCTTTTTCTTATTAATCTCAATTAGAGGACTTCCATAGTTTGATACAATGTAAAAATACTAAAAGGAATACATTGTTTGTTCGTTTTCTGAGATGGAGTCTCACTCTATCGCCCAGGCTGGAGTGCAGTGGTGCAATCATTGCAACCTCTGCCCCCCAGGTTCAAGCAATTCTCCTGCCTCAGTGTCCCAAGCAGCTGGGATTACAGGCACGTGCCACCATGCTTGGCTAATTTTTGTATTTTTAGTAAAGACGGGGTTTCACCATGTTGGCCAGGCTGGTCTCAAACTCCTGACCTCAGGTGATCCACCCGCCTCAGCCTCTCAAAGTGCTGGGATTACAGGAGTGAGCCACCATACCCAGCCAGGAATAAATGTTTTAAATTTTATTTAAATTGCCTCCACAAAGGATGACATATATAGGCTATCAACTTCTAAAGGAGGATATCACCTGATTTAACTAACTCATACTACCATCTAATCTTCAAAATGAAAACTGAATAACATGTACTTTAACACTTTATCGTATGTTATCAATTCCTTTCCAAATGAATAACGAGAAAATAAGAAAACGACTAAGCAAGCATTTCATACCTTAAATGAAGCCACAGCTTTATCATATGCTTTTATCAGTGCTGTATCATCCCAAATGTCAGAATCATCGCTCTGGAAAGGGTAAGAAATAAAAACAACTCATGTTCAGATAGGTTTAATCAGAAAATGTATGTTAGTACCAAGAGTCATCTTAATCCACACATAACAAAATTACACTGAAAATGAGTATTTAAAATCCTAAATAAAGCCACAGGAAACTTACCTGGTTAGAGGTTATGTGACTTTACTCCAAAAGCTAGACATAGGTAAATGTTCTAAGAATGAATGCCATCAAGTGAATGCCCCTACAATTTAATTCCTATCCACATACCATGAGTAGATTTGTTCAAGGCCAGCTATATTTATTTCAATTAAGATCAGATAAAACTTGACTTCATCTAGACTACGGGAATGCTGTTCTGACCTCAGAACCTATGATCCAAAGAATATTTTTTCTTTTGAAATTATAATGTTTCCAGATTATAAGGATACAAATTGTTAATAGTGACTAACCAATTTTCATTTTATTATTATTATTATTTTTTTACTTCCATTTCCCTTTCCTGCTTTCCTGGTACCAATTTTCTTTCCTTCCTTTTCTTTTCCTTTCTTTCGTTTCTTTCTTCTCTCCCTCCCTCCTTCCTTTCTTCCTTCCTTCACTTCTCTTTCTCTCTTCTTTTTTTCTCCCCTCAAATTCCTGTGTTCAAACGACCCTCCCACCTCAGCCCACTGAGTAGTTGGGAATATAGGTGCATGCCACCATGCCTGGCTAGTTTTTAAAATTTTTTGTAGGGACGGGGTCTCGCCATCTTAGCCAAGCTGGTCTTGAACTCCTAGGCTCAAGTGATCCTCCAGCCTCGCTCGGCCTCCCAAGTGTGGGAATTACAGGCATGAGCCACTGCACCTGGAAATATTTTTGTCCAGACATGGTGGCTCATGCCTGTAATCCCAGCTACTTGGGAAGCTGAGGCAGGAGAATTACATGAGCCCAGTTGTTGGAGGCTGCAGTAAGCTATGATCATCCCATTGCCCTCTAGCCTGGGTGACAGAGGAAGACCCTGTCTAACAACAACAACAACAATAACAAAATAATAATAATAATAAATAATTTTTTAGCACTATCTGCTAGCACTGTGCAAGTCACTGAGAGATATATAGAAACATGGTACTCTCCAGTTATTATCTAACTAGGGATTTAAGACTATCACACAAGACAAAACAAAAAACAATATAAAACAAATCTTAACAAACATCAAAATGTGAAATACAAACAGTATTTTAATTAAAAAGGAAAGAAATTAATGTCTACTGCAAGATCATATGGAGGAAACCGGCCTAAGAAATAAAAACCACTCACGCCTGTAATCCCAGCACTTTGGGTGGCCGAGGTGGGTGGATCACGAGGTCAGGAGTTCGAGACCAGCCTGGCCAACATGGTGAAACCCTGTCTCTACTAAAAATACAAAAATTAGCCGGACATAGTAGCACATGCCTGTAATCCCAGCTACTTGGGAGGCTGAGGCAGGAGAATCACTTGAACCTGGGAGGCAGAGGTGGCAGTGAGCCAAGATCGCGCCACTGCACTACAGCCTGAGAGACATAGCGAGACTCTGTCTCAAAAAACAAACAAAACAAAACAAAACAAAATAAAACAAAACAAAACAACAGGATTTAGGCCGGGCATGGTGGCTTGTAATCCCAGCATTTTGGGAGGCCAAGGCAGGTGAATTGCTTGAGTCCAGGACTTCCAGACCAGCCTAGGCAACAGGGTAAGAACCTTGTGTCTACTAAAAATACAAAAATTCTGGCCGGGCGTGGTGGCTCATGCCTGTAATTCCAGCACTTTGGGAGGCAGAAGCAGGCAGATCACGAGGTCAGGAGTTCGAGACCAGCATGGCCAACAAGGTGAAACCCCATCTCTACTAAAACTACAAAACTTAGCTGGCGTGGTGGCAGTCACCTGTAATCCCAGCTGCTTGGGAGGCTGAGGCAGGAGAATCACTTGAACCCGGGCGGCAGAGATTGCAGTGAGCTGAGATTGTGCCACTGCACTCCAGCCTGGGTGACACAGTGAGACTCTGTCTCAAAAACAAACAAACAAAAAAACCAAATTTAGCTGGGCATGGTGGCACATGCCTATAGTCCCAGCTACCTGCAGGGGCTGAGGCGAGAGGATCACCTGGGCCCAGGAAGTTGAGGATGCAGTGAGTGGAGATGGCGCCGCTGCACTCCAGCCTGGGTAACAAATTGAGACCTTGTCTGGGAAAAAAAAACAAAAAAAAACAAAAAAAACCCCCCAAAAAAAAAAAAAACCCAACAGGATGTGCATAGGTAGACAAAATAGAACGCATTCCAAGTAAGAGCATGAACAACAACAAAAAAGGCATGGAAGCAAAAATAACACTAACTATAAGAATTTATTTATGTAAGGTAACTAAGTAGTCAAATTTATAGAATTAGAAAGAATGGGCCAGGCGCAGTGGCTCACGCCTGTAATCCCAGCACTTTGGGAGGCCGAGGTGGGCAGATCACCTGAGGTCAGGAGTTCGAGACCAGCCTCAACATGGAGAAACCCCTTCTCTACTAAAAATACAAAATTAGCCGGGCGTGGTGGTGCATGACTGTAATCCCAGCTACTCGGGAGGCTGAGGTAGAATTGCTTGAACCTGGGAGGCGGAGGTTGTGGTGAGTCGAGATTGCACCATTGCACTCCAGCCTGGGCAACAAGAGTAAAACTCCATCTCAAAAAAAAAAAAAAAAAAAAAAGAATGATGATTACCAAGGGCTAAGTGTAAGGAGAAATGGGAATTTGCTAATGGGTAGAGTTTCAGGTTGCAAGACGAAAAACTTCCGAAGATCTATTGCGCAACAACATGAACATACTTAATATTACTGAACTATATACTTAAAAATGGTTAAAATGACAAATTTTTTTACTTCAATAAAAAATAAAACACACTGTATGAGGGATTAGTGAGACAAGTCCAAATAGAATCCAATTTATACTATAGGGTAGAGTTGGATTTGGTATACTAGAGAGTATTTTGGATTTGGTATAGTATTAGTCAATGAATTCCAAAAAAGTTTGTTATAAAATTCACTGAGTTGTAATATTACTTTTTGTCATTTTCCTGTTTTTTTTTTGTTTTGTTTTGTTTTCTCTTGAGACAAGAGTCTCGCTATGCCACCCAGGCTGGAGTGCAGTGGCATGATCTCGGCTCACTGCAACCTCTGCCGCCCAGGTTCAAGTGATTCTCCTGCCTCAGTCTCTCAAATAGCTGGGATTATAGGCGCCCACCATCAAGCTGGGCTAATTTTTGTATTTTTAGTAGACATGGGCTTTCATCATCTTGGCAAAACTGGTCTCGAACTCCTGACCTCAAGTGATCCTCCCACCTCAGCCTCCCAAAGTGCTGGGATTACAGGCATGAGCCACCGCACCCAGGCTTGTCATTTTCCTGTTAATCTCCGTTATATAGAGACAAATGTATTCCAATATAAAATGTCAATCTTGCTGTATGATAAAAAGTACTTAATAATCCCAGCCTGGGCAACATGGCAAAACCCCATCTCTACAAAAAGTACAAAAATTAGCTGGGCGTGGTGGTTCACATCTGTAGTCCCAGCTACCCAGAAGGCTAAGGTGGGAGGGCCGCTTGAACCAGGGAAGAGGAGATTGCAGTGAGTGGAGATCAGAGATCGTGCCACTGCACTCCAGCCAGGGTGACAGTGAGACCCTGTCTCAAAAAAAAAAAGTACTTAAGATCATTAAGTCACTTTGCAGATAAGAAAAGTAATCACAAAGAGGTTAACTGACTTAAGGTTACATTCGCACTTGGAAGGGAAGATATTCCTTGGAGATTTGGTAAAAGGAATAAAAACAGGCTGGGTCCAGTGGCTCACACCTATAATCTCTGTCTCGAAAGAAAAAAAGGGGGGTAGGGGGGAGGCTGGGCACGGCAGCTCATTCCTGTAATCCCAGCACTTTGGGATGCAGAGGTGGGTGGGGTGGGTGGATCACTTGACATCAGGAGTTTGAGACCAGCCTGCCAATGTGGCAAAACCCCGTCTCTATTAAAAATACAAAACTTAGCCGGGCATGGTGGTGCACACCTGTAGTCCCAGATACTTGGGAGGCTGAGGCAGGAGAATTGCTGGAACCCGGGAGGCAGAGGTTGCAATGAGCCAAGATCACTGCACTCCAGCCTGAGTGACAGAGTGAGACTCCATCTCAAAAAAAAAGGAAGCAAACAGTAGAAAATGAAGGGTGGTCCTGAAGAAATAAAGAAATCACAAAATCAAGGCCAGTGATATCAATAGAAGAGTGCAGTCTTAAAGCAAGATACACAGACAGATGGCAGCTCAAACTCCTCATATCTCAACTGTTATTGCCAGACCAGGAAACAAGTAATTTCAAAACGAACAGAAAACAAAGCGACAGAAGAAAAGGTAATACTGATTACAAGGTACCCAAGGACAAATACATCTGACTGAAAATCTAAGGAGCACCAAAGCAAAGCCATGAAAAAGAACCAAAGGAACAAAAATAAATAAGAAGCAAAATGGTTGATACATTGGCAAACAGTATTTATTTAACGTATGTATAAATGGGGTCCCTGAAGAATAAAAACAAAACAAAACAAACAATCTTCCTGGTGGTCTAGTGATTAGGAATTTAAAAAAAAGAAAAATTCCTAGGGATGGGAGGAAGAACCCCCTCCCATCCTCAGAGAGCCTCTAAGCAAAAAGACTAAGTTACAAAATAAAGAAAATCAGTTATCATTAGACTTTCTCATAGAAATTTATGGGGAAAAAGTATGAGCCAAGAATTTTATATGCAGCCTAGCTGTCCTTGAAGTAGCAAGACTAAGAAAAGTCTAAAATGTAGAAGAATACCGTACTCACTAGCCTTTCCAGGGTAATCTATTGAAAATACGCTTCATCCAACCAAGATATGACCAGGGAAACTTGGGTTTTAAAAATAACAGAACTGGCCAGGCATGGTGGTTCACGCCTGTAATCCCAACACTTTGGGAGGCCGAGGTGGGTGGATCACCTGAGGTCAGGAGTTCAAGACCAGCCTGATCAACATGGTGAAACCCCGTCTCTACTAAAAATACAAAATTAGCCGGGCGTGGTGGCGCATGCCTGTAATCCCAGCTACTCGGGAGGCTGAGGCAGAAGAATTGCTTGAACCTGGGAGGTGGAGGTTGTGGTGAGCCAAGATCGCGCCACTGCACTCCAGCCTGGGCAACAAGAGCGAAACTCTTGTCTCAAAAAAAAAAAACGAAAAACATAAAACAGAATTGTTAGCATCAAATATATTTAATTGTGGATCTAAGAGGAAAGTAGTGTATTAAATTGAAAAGCTGATTCTAAAATTTATATGGAACTACTAAGGACAAAAATAAACCAAAGCTGGACAATTTACATTATCTAACTTTAAGACTGTAAACCAGAAGTAGCTAAGACAGGTTTCAATCAATTTAGAAAGTTTATTTTGCCAAAGTTAAAGACGCTCCTATGACACAGCCACAGGAGGTCCTGATGACATGTCCCCAAGGTGGTGGGGTACAGCTTTGTTTTATACATTTTAGGGAGACATGAGGCATCAATCAATATATGTAAGATGTACATGAGTTCTGTCAGGAAAGGCAGGACAACTCAAAGTGGGGGTAGGGAGGTTTCTAGGTCATAGGAAGATTTAAAGATTTTCTAATTGGCAACTAGTTGAAAGAGTTATTATCAACAGAAAGGAATGTTTGGGTTACCATAAGGGGTTGTGGAGACCAAGGTTTTATCATGCAGATGAAGCTCCCAGGTAGCAGGCTTCAGAGAGGGTAGGTTGTAAATGTTTCTTTTCAGACTTTAAGAGTCTGTTCTATCAGTAATTCCAAAAGGTAGTAGGGTGTGATGAGACATGTCCAACTCCCCCTTCCCATCATGGCTTGAACTAGTTTTTCAGGTTAATTTTGGAATGCCCTTGGCTGAGAGGATGGGTCCATTCAGTTGGTTGTGCAGGGGCGGGGGGGGCCTATAATTTTATTTTTGGTTTACAAGACATACCCTGAAGCAATAGTAATTAAAAGTGTAGTACTGACATCAATATACACTAATAGACAATGTAACAGAATTGAGAGTCAGAAATAGCCCTGTGATATATGTGACTGATTTTAACTAAAGTTACAAATGTGGTTTAATAGAGAAAGCATAGTAGTTTCAAGAAATGGTGGTAAAACTATTGGAAATCCTTATGCAAAAACAAACCAAATTTCCACCTACACTGAGCCACATATAAGAATTAATACAAAATGGATTACAGACCTAAGTGTAAAACTAAAACTCTAAACTGTGTAAAAAAAAAAAAGAGAGAAAAATCTGTGATCATGGATTGCCTATAACAAAAGAACAAACTGAAATGGCCTTGTTGCCTGGGGTGGCACCCGAGGTTCTTGGTCTCACGCTGAGGAAATCAAGGACGCTGACACACCAAGGGTGTGAGGCTAGAGCAGAAGTTTAATAGGCAAAAGAAAGAGACTAGCTCTCTCCTGCAGAGAGAGGTCCTGAAAAGAGTTCCCATTCCACAGTGAAATGCAAGCATTTTTATAAATGAGCTAATGGGAAGGGGGTAGCTTATCTACACATAGGGAGCAAAAAACCAGTTAGGACCAGGTGTTGCCATCTGCACAGAGCGTGAATCTCTGGCATCCCCCACCCCAACCTTTTATTATGCAGGCAGGTCCTTGGCCTGAGCTACTCCACATTGCTTATCTCTTTCCTATTGTGCATGTGCTAAATAAGGGGAGGTGGAGCCACCATGGTGGACATGCCTGGCCCCAGGTACCCCTTTCTCTCCGTGCAGCTGCAGGCAACCCCAACAACTCACAACATGCAAGCTTCCAGCTTCCTTATCTGAGTATGTACTAAGGTCCACTGTGTTTACTTCACATACTGTGTTTACTTCACATACCCACCTTACGTATGTGAAGCTTGCTGATTACCCAGGAAGCTCCCCCTCTGTGCCAGAGCTGCTTCCTTATACATGTTTACAGCCCGATCTTCCAGGCTGCTCCTTGTTAGAAGAGAAGTGATTTCTTGGGCTGCTTTTTGTTAGAAGGGAAGTTCTACCGAGGACTCTGTCTAACTATCGGCTTACCTAGTCTTTTTTTACCTCCTCTCTCAAAACCATCAAAGAAAAAACTGAAAAATTAGATTTCAGCAAAATTAAGATTTTCTGTTCTTAAAAAGACGTTGTTAACAAAATGAAAAACCAAAGTGTAAACCGGGAGAAAATACATGCAAGTTACCTATCTGATAAAGATATTGTACCCAGCAAACATGAAGAACTCTCAAACCTCAACAACAAAAAAATTCAATTAAAAGATGGGTAAGTTGGCCGGGTGCAGTGGCTCATACTTGCAATCCCAATCTTTGGGAGGCTGAGGCAGGAAGATTGCTTGAGCCCAGGAGTTCACGACAAGCCCAGGCAACATAATGAGACCTTGTTTCTACAAAATTTTAAAAAATTAGCCAGGCATTGTGGCGTGTGCTCGTAATTTCAGCTACTCAGAAGGCTGAGACAAGAAGACTGAGCGCAGGAGGTGGAGGCTGCAGTAGGCTGTGTGATTGCACCACTGCACAACAGCCTGGGTGACAGAGTGAGACACTGTCTCCAAAAAAAAAAAACAAACAAAAAAAAAACCCAAATGATTTGAATAGACACTTCACCAAAAAAGATATACGGATGGCAAATACACTCATGAAATGATCAACAGCAGCACTGGTCATTAGGAAATGCTAATTAAAATCACAAGAAGCCACTATATCTATTATAATGCCTAAAATTAAAAAGACTGACCATACCAGGTGTTTGCAGGGACACTGAGCAAATGGAACTTTCATACATTGCTGGTCAAAATGCAAAATGGGGGAGCTGTTCTGAACCTATTTAGTTGTGGGGGCTGTCCAACTTTTGAATTTTTCTTTGCTCAATTAATCTCTGTTATATTAAAAAGTAACATGGTACAACCACCACTTTGAGGAAGAGTTTGACAGCTCCTTAAAGACTTAAAATACATCTACCCTGAGACCTAAGTATTCACTCAAGAAAAATGAAAGCGTATGTCTATACAAAGTCTTCTTTAAAATTTTTTATAGAAAATTTTTAATTTTTGATTTTAAAATAAAAATAGAGGTTTCACCATGTTTCCCAGGCTGGTCTCAAACTCCTGGGCTCAAGCGATCTGCCAGCCTTGGCTATATGAAGTCTTATACACTAATATTCATAGTGGCTCTACTTGTTAACAGTCCCAAACTGGAAAAAGCCCAAATGTTCACAAGCAAGCGAATGAATACAGTATAGTATATACATGCAATGGGATACTACTCAGCAATAAAATGGATGAAAATCAAAATAGCTATGATAAATAAAAGAAACGTGACAAAAAAGGTACTCTATCATTCCACGTTTATAAAAATTCTTAAAAATGCAGGCTAATCTATGGTGACAGAAAGTAGATCAGTGGTTGTCTGGGGACAGGACAAGGAGGGATGAAAAGGATCACAAAACAGCAATCCAACTGAGGCCACCATGCTATAAGGAAATCCAAACCAGCCCACACATTGAAACCACATAAAGAAATCTTCATGAGACTACATGAAAAAAAGAGATAGCCTGCCAATCCCTAGCTGCTCAGTCCCCAGCTACTGTAGCTCTAGCAACTATGTAGGTGCAACCACGAGACAGCCGCACGAAAACTGCCCAGCACGGCTCTCACAAATTCCTAACCCACAGAAACAATGAGAGATAATAAAATGTTCTTTGTTGTTTCAAGCCACTAAGTTTTGGCAGATTCGTTACACAGCAACGGCAGCCAGAACGGACCACCAGGACTGCCTTTATATCTGATTCTCAGTCATTTCCAGTAGCTCAGATTTCTCAAATTATTCCCAACACCCTGCCATCTTCTACCTTCTCCTACCACTTCCTGAAACTTCCACTGTGCTCCCTTGAGTAATTCATAAAATCCACTCTTTAACCTCTGAATCATCCCTTCATTTCTTGCTCTAAGTAAAATCTAGCTCCCTGAGGATGCCTTTTCCTTTCGCAGCCATCTCAAATGATAGATGTTTCCTCTTTTCTCCTCCACACACTTCATATCACTGTACCTACTGGAGATGTGGGGAAGAAATCTTCCCTGCTCTGGCTGGCGCGGTGGCTCACGCCTGTAATCCCAAGCGCTTTGGGAGGCCGGGGTGGGCGGATCACAAAGTCAGGAGATTGAGACCATCCTGGCTAACACGGTGAAACCCCGTCTCTACTAAAAATACAAAAAAACAATTAGCTGGGCGTGGTGGCGGGCGCCTGTAGTCCCAGCTACTCGGGAGGCTGAAGGAGGAGAATGGCGTGAACACGGGAGGCGGAGCTTGCAGTGAGCGGAGATCTCGCCACTGCACTCCAGCCTGGGCGACTGAGCCAGACTCCGACTCAAAAAAAAAAAAAAAAAGAAAAAAGAAATCTTCCCTGCTCCTTACTTGCACTTTCAGATTATTCTCCTCCATTCCCCTCTCAAAATTCCCAGCCTTGAAAATCCTGACAAAAAGTAGCCAGGCATGGTGGTCAGCACCTGTAGTTCCAGCTACTTGAGAGGCTGAAGTGGGAGAATCCCTTGAGCTTGGGAGGAGGTTGTAGTGAGCCGTGATCGCGCCACTGCACTCCCACCTGGGCAACAAAAAGAGGCCCTGTCTCGGGGGGGGGGAAAAAAGAAAGAAGGAAAATCTTGTCACCAGACTCACAGTCTATTATCGTTTCCTATTGCAGTCACCTACAGCCTACCGAGTCACTCTTCCTCATTCCTTAATGTTTACATCGCAGTTCTCTCTCCAACACTACTCCTGTCATAATTTTTGGTGATTTAAATATCCATGTAGATGATCCCTTCAATTACCCTATATTTGCAGGTCTCTAAACTCCTCTCCACCACAATCTTGTACATCCTCTGATGTGGTGCAGCTCTGTGTTCCTACCCAAATCTCATGCTGAATTGTGATCCCCAGTGTTGGAGGTGGGCATGGTAGGAGGCGACTGGATCATGGGGGTGATTTCTAATGATTTAGCACCATCCCCAAGTGCTGTTTCCTGATAAGCGTTCTCACAAGATCTGGTTGTTTTAAAGTATGTAGCACTTCCCCCTTCTCTCTCTCTCCTGCTGGCCATGTGAAGACTGTGCTTGTTTCCCCTTCACCTTCCACCATGACTGTAAGTTTCCTTAGGCCTCCACAAGAGAAGCCTGTACAGGCAGCAGAACTGTGAGCTGATTAAACCTCTTATCTTTATAAATACCTGGTCTCAGGTATGTCTTTGTAGCAGTGTAAGAATGAACTGATACATCCCCAAATCTCAGCTACTCACTCACTTCAACTGTATTTATTTATTATAACCAATAACCACAACCTCTCCATAAATGCAGTTTCAAGAATCCCACTCTCTTAACCATCACCTTCTAGGCTCTGCAACTTACTCCTACTAGTGATTTGATGGGGACAATCATTCCACTTCATTAGGACTGGCAGTACATTGATCCTCCCACTTTTTTTTTTTTTTTTTTTTGAGGCAGAGTCTCATTTTGTCGCCCAGGATGGAGTACAGTGGCACGATCTCGGGTCACTGCAAACTCCACATCCCGGGTTCAAGTGATTTTCCTGCCTCAGCCTCCCTAGTAGCTGAGACTACAGGCACCTGCCACCATGCCCAGCTAATTTTTTTTTTCCAAGAGGAGTCCTGCTCTGTCGCCCAGGCTGGAGTGCAGTGGCGCAATCTCGGCTCACTGCAAACCTCGCCTCCCGTGTTCAACTGATTCTCCTGCCTCAGCCTCCCAAGTAGCTGGGATTATAGGCACGCGCCACCACGCCCGGCTAATTTTTGTATTCTTTTTTTTTTTTTTTTTTTAAAGACAAAGTTTTGCTCTTGTTGCCCAGGCTGGAGTGCAATGGAGTGATCTCAGCTGTCTGCAACCTCTGCCTCCCAGGTTCAAGCAATTTTTCTGCCTCAGCCTCCCGAGTAGCTGGGATTATAGACACGTGACACCATGCCCGGCTAATTTTTGTATTTTTAGTAGAGACAAGGTTTCACCATATTGGCCAGGCTGGTCTCGAACTCCTGACCTTGTGATCTGCCCAACTCGGCCTCCCAAAGTGCTGGGATTACAGGTGTCAGCCACAGCGCCCGGCCGATCCTCCCACTTTTTAAACTGTCTCTCAGGGTCTTAAAATCCTCACTTCCTTTCTTTTTTTTTTTTTTTGAGGTGAAGTCTCACTATATCGTCCAGGCTGGAGTACAGTGGCGTGATCTCGGCTCACTGCAACCTCCACCTCCTGGGTCCAAGGGATACTCCTGCCACAGCCTCTTGAGTAGCTGGGATTACAGGCACCTGCCACCATTCCCGGCTAATTTTTCTGTATTTTTATTAGAGATGGGGTTTCGCCATATCGGCCAGGTTGGTCTCAAACTCCTGACCTCAGGTAATCCACCCACCTCAGTCTCCCAAAGTGCTGGGATTACAGGCGTGAGCCACCGCGCCCGGCCTCTCACTTCCTTTCTTAGCCAGCTTAAATTCCATGGTCAATCATTAAGAGAACTCCTTTGTACTTCTCCCCCTCACTTCTTCATATCCACGTGGTAAAATCACAACTGCATTAATTTCAACTCTCCATTTACTCTGTGGGTGCCCTCATACACAATCTTGCTGTCTGGTCTCCTTCAACTCATGACCACGAATCTCAAGTAGGCTCTTTATGTTGCCTAGCAATATTTCCACTAAACTTCCCTAGTCCAACCCTTGCCCACTCTTCTAAAGAACTATCTACTTCCCATCTTCTCTTTCCTCTCCCATCCCAGCTTCTAGCTGATAACCTTGCTTCTTTCACTAAGAGAACAGTAAGAATCAAGAGAACTTTCAAAATCTCCTGCCATCCTATCTGCCCATTCACGTATCATAGATGTGTTAACTATATAGCTGTCACCAAAAGAACCGCTAATGTTTCCAACAAAGGCCAAATCCATCCCTTCTTACCTACTCTAGGACATTGCTCTAGCCATTGTCTTCTTTCCGACATCAACTTTCCCATTCTCATCTTTCCTATCAACCCACAAACATGCTGAAACATGTTGCTCCTATCTTAGTGCAGTGGCTCACACTAGTAATCCCAGTACTTTGGGAGGCAGAGGTGGGAGGATAGCTTGAGGCCAGGAGTCCAAGGCTGTAGTGATTCATGATTGCGCCACTGGCACCCCAGCAGCCTGGGCAACAGAGCAAGACCCCCCTCTTTTAAAACCACACACACATAATTAAAATTCCTCTTAACTCACTTCCCCCTCCATTTATTGCCCAATTTCTCTACCCTCCATTTATAATAAAATTTCGTGGTGGCTCACTCCTTTAGGCCCAGCGACTCCAAAGGAGGGTCGCTTGAGGCCAAGAGATCAACGCTGCCATGGGCTAGGATCATGCCACTGTACTCCAGCCTGGGCCACAGAGAGCGAACTTGTCTCTAAAAAAATTTTTTTTAAATAGAATTCCTTGAAATATGCCTACCGATGTTTTTATTATTTATTTATTTATTTATTTATTTATTTGAGACGGAGTCTTGCTCTATCGCCCAGGCTGGAGTGCAGTGGCGCGATCTCGGCTCACTGCAAGCTCCGCCTCCCGGCTTCATGACATTCTCCTGCCTCAGCCTCCCGAGTAGCTGGGACTACAGGCGCCCGTCACCACGCCCGGCTAATTTTTTGTATTTGTAGTAGAGACGGGGTTTCACCGTGTTAGCCAGGATGGTCTCGATCTCCTGACCTTGTGATCCGGCCGCCTCGGCCTCCCAAAGTGCTGGGATTACAGGCTTGAGCCACCGCGCCCGGCCGTTTATTTTGTTTTAAGACAGGGTCTGGCTCTGTCGCCCAGGCTGGAGTGCAGAGGCGCAATCACAGATCACTGCAGCCTCCACCTCCCTGAGCCTTCCAAGGCCTGAACCTTCCAGGTAGCTGAGACCACAGACGCGCACCACAACACCCGTCTAATTTTTGCAGACTCGGAGTCACACTATGTTGCCCAGGCTGGTCAAATGTTGCCTTGGATTTCTCTTCTCCTACTCTCCAACTCACTCCAGCCAAATTCACCCCTACCATGCTATGCCCAAGACTGAACTCCTGAGAAACCTGCTCTACTGGCAATCTTCTCTTTCCCACCTCAGCAAAAGGCAACTTTATCTTTTCAACTATTCAGGATAACCTCCGTTATCGAATCTATCTGAAAAACCTGTTGCCTCCGATTTCAAAATATACCCAGAATCCAAATACTTTCACTCTGTTAATAACATCTTGTTCTGAAGTTCAGATCATCTTAACAGACTCCTAAGTGGTTCCCCTGCTTCACCCTGGCCTAATGCCCCCACCTCCCCCACACCAGCCAGAGAGGAGTGAACAAAATAAGCTACTGCCAAGTCGCGGCAGGGCCTCCACTCAACGCTATCAAGGAGCCCAAACTGCTCGAGGAAGGAGCTTGCGGATGTGGTTCGCAGGGAACGGAGTGGGAAAAGACGTAGAAAAACGCGGACCACAACTCCAGTGAGCGGATCGACTTGATGCTGTCCCGAGGCTGCGGAAGGAGAGTTGGGCCGGAAGAAGGGTGCTGAGAGCGCTAATAGGGAGACTGCACTGGCTGCGACCTCACCTGGCCTGTGCCGCGCCGGAACAGCACGGAATCCTCCTGCTCCGGGACGCCGCCACCACTGCCGCCGCTGCTCATCGCCATAGCAAACCCGCGGGTGCGCAGCGTGGGGCCCCGTCCCTTCTTAAGAGTGACGACTTCCGCCGCCCGGGGCTTCTGGGAGCGGAACAGTACGGTGGCCGGGAGGACCGCTTGTAGTAACTTCTCACGCTTTCTACGAGTGGTTATCGCCCTCCCACATTTGTGGCGTGTATATTTTTCATTTCTCTCAATCCTTTCATTTCACTGTGTTATATTTCCTTTCCTTTTTTTTTTGTTTGTTTGTTTTGAGACAGAGCCTCGCCCTGTCGCTCAGGCTGGAGTGCAGCGGCGCGATCTCGGCTCACTGCAGCCTCGACTTCTTGGGCTCAAGCGATCCTCCCACCTCAGCCTCCCCAGTAGCTAGGACTATAGGCGTGCGCCACCAAGCTCAGCTATTTTTTGTATTTAGTAGAGACGGGGTTTCGGCATGTTGCTTAGGCCTCGTCTCGAACTCCAGTGTGTGTGTGTGTGTGTGTGTGTGTGTGTGTGTGTGTAGATATTTATTCCCCCTCCCCCTTGGAAAAGTAAATGTAAGCTCCTACTAGGAATTTAAAACCTGCTTGATCTATATAAAGACAAACAAGGAAAGACAAACATGGGGGCAGGAAGGAAGGCAGATCCTTAAACACTAGAAGATATTTGATCCCCCAACCTTATTTGTTGTTTGTTTTGAGACGGAGTCTCGCTCTGTCGTCAGAGTGCAGTGGCACCATCTCGGCTCATTGCAGCCTCGACCTCCCGAGCTCAAGCGATCCTCCCGCCTCAACCTCCCAAGTAGCTAGGACCACAGGGGCACGCCACCACACCCGGCTAGTTTCTGTATGTTTTGTAGAGGCGGCGTTTGGAGCATATTGTGTAGGCTGGTCTCGAACTCCTGAGCTCAAGATATTCCGCCCGCCTCTGGCATCCCAAAATGCTGGGATTACAGGTGTGAGCCACCTCGCCCAGCCTCCAGTATTCTTTTTTTTTTTTGCGACAGAGTATTGCTCTGTCACCCAGGCTGGAATGCAGTGGCGTGATCTCAGCTCACTGCAACCTCTGCCTCCCAGGTTCAAGCAATTCTGCCTCAGCCCCCCGAGTAGCTGGGATTACAGGCGCCCACCACCACACCCGGCTAATTTTTGTATTTTTAGTAAAGATGGGGTTTCACCATGTTGGCCAGGCTGGTCTTGAACTCCTGACCTCGTAATCCGACCGCCTCGGCCTCCCAAAGTGCTGGGATTACAGGTGTGAGCCACCACACCGGGCCTCCAGTATTCTTTATTAAGCATCTAGGGTTGCTAAATGGCTTATATGTACATAGTATATATATATTTTTAACTCCACGAAAGGAACTTTGAGCTCTTCCCCCAAAATACCCTTGGCTTCTATATAGTATACAAGAAATATCTGTGGAGGAAGGGGAGAATGGGATGATGTTGACCAAGTGTACAAAAATGGTAACTCTGTAGAGGTAATATGTGGAATGTAATCATTTCACAATGTATATCTAAACATCAAATGGTACACCTTAAATATATACAATTTTTAGGGGTCTGGTACGGTGGCTCATGCCTATAATCCCAGCACTTTGGGAGGCCAAGGTGGGTGGATCACTTGAGGTCAGGACTTCAAGACCAGCCTGGCCAACATGGTGAAACCCTGTTTCTCCTAAAAATACAAAAATCAGCCGGGTGTGGTGGTGCAGGCCTGTAATGACAGCTGCTTGGGAGGCTGAGCCAGGAGAATCACTTGAACTCGGGAGGCGGAGGTTGCAGTGAGCCAAGATCACGCCACTGCACTCCAGCCTGAGTGACAGAGTGCGACTCCATCTCAAACAAATAAATATGTACAATTTTTATGTGTCAAAAAAGTTAAATTGTCACAAGATAAAAAAAAAAATTTAAATCTCATGTCAGGAAAGTAATGTGCCAAAGGTACATCTCACAGATAAACATGAAAACCTGCACTCCAGCCTGGGCGACAGAGTGAGGCTGTGTCTCAGAAAAAAAAAAAAAAGTAAAAAAAAAAGTATGTTTTTATAAAGCTTGCTTAGATTTTTCTGAATCATAAAAATTCTCACAATTGCATTTGATGTCAAAATTTAAACAAATTACCTGGACATATTACATGATGGTTAAAAAAATAAATTTAAACAAAATATAGAACCAGGTTTCTTTTTGTTTTTTAATTTTTTTCTTTTTGAGACGGAGTCTCGCTCTGCCACCCAGACTGGAGTGCAGTGGCTCACTGCAACCTCTGCCTCCCGGGTTCAAGTGATTCTCCTGTCTCAGCTTCCCGAGTACCTAGGATTACAGGCGTGTGCCACCACACCCAGCTAATTTTTGTATTTTTAGTAGAGACTGGGTTTTGCCATGTTGGTCAGGTTGGTCTCAAACTCCTGACCTTGTGATCCGCCCGCCTCAGCCTCCCAAAGTGCTGCGATTACAGGCATGAGCCACCGCACCCAGCCATTTCTTTTTGTTTTTATTATTTAGAGATATAATTGATATACTATAGAATTAATCGTTTTAGAGAGTACAATTGAATGGTAGATAGAGCGGAAACCTTAATATATTCACAAGGTTGTGCAACCATCACTACTATCTAACTCCAGAACATTTTAATCACCCACCAAAGAAACTCTGTTTCCTTTAGCAGTGCGCTGCCATGCTCAGCTATTTTTTGGGAGAGAAGGGGTCTCCCCATGTTGTCCACGCTGGTCTCAAACTCGGTTGCTTAAGCAGTCCTCCCACTTGAGCCGCTGTGCCCAGGCCTGAGTTACTATATTTATAAAAGTTATTTCATATGATAGACAAATCATTCAAAACATAATGAGGTAAACTGCCAAAAGAAACCATTTTACCATATTTGAAGGCATTTAATGTAAATGTTGAATTTAATTTCATGTACTGGAATCAGTCTTTTTGCATATGTAATTTTCATACCAAAAATCTCTCTTCAGTTGACTCCTGGAACTCTCTCATGATAAAATAAAAGTTTCAAATAATGTCGGGGTGGTGGCTAACACCTGTAATCCCAGCACTGTGGGAGTCCGAGGCAGGTGGATCACATGAGGTCAGGAGTTTGAGACCAGCCTAGCCAACATGGCAACACTAAAGATATGAAAGTCAGCCAGGCATGGTGGTGCATGCCTGTAATCTCAGCTACTAGGGAGGCTGAGGCACAAAAATCACTTGAAACTGGGAGGTGGAGGTTGCAATGAGCTGAGATCGTGCCACTGCACACCAGCCTGTGAGACAGAGCAAGACTCTGTCTCAAAAAAAAAAAAAAAAAAAAAAAAAAAAGGGCCAAGTATGGTGGCTCATGCCTGTAATCCTAGCACTTTGGGAGGCTGAGTGGGAGAGGATCATTTGAGCCCAAGTAACATGGTCAGGCCCCATCTCTACAAAAATAAATTAGCTGGGCATGGTGGTATGGGCTTGTGGTACCAGCTACTCAGGAGGCTGAGACAGGAGGAGTACTTGAGCCAAGGAGGTCAAAGGCTGCAGTAAGCCATGTTTTTGCCACCGTGCTCCAGCCTGGGCAACAGAGCAATATGCTGTTTCAAAAACAAACTAAAAAAATGGTAGTACCTACATGTGAAGATTGCATATAATAAAGATTGTAAAGCAGAGAGAAAAACTGGACAGTTCACCAAAAAGAAAATCCAAATGTCCACTAGAGATCTGAGAAGATGCCCAACCTCTAGAGCCAAGGAATTGCAAATTAATAACTAAGATAACATTTCAGGGCCTGGCACGGTGGCTCATGCCAGTAATCCCAGCACTTTGGGAGGCTGAGGCAGGCGGATCACTTGAGGTCAGGATTTGAGATCACCCTGGCCAACATGGTGAAATCCTGTCTCTACTAAAAATACAAAAATTAGCTTAGCATGGTTGCGGCGCCTATAATCCTAGCTACTTTGAAGACTGAGGCAGGAGAATCGCTTGAACCTAGGAAGCGGAGGTTGCAGTGAGCTGAGATCGTGCCAGTGCACTCCAGTCTGAGTGACAGGGTGAGACTTCATCTCAAAAAAAAAACAAAAAAACAAAAAATTTCAGGAATATACCTGCCTTTGGTAAAAACAAAAAGAAATTGTGAACCAGGCGTGGTGACTCATGCCTGTAATCCTAGCACTTTGGGAGGCTGAGGCAGGAGGATCCTTTGAGCCCAGGGGTACAAGACCAGCCTGGGCAACATAGGGAGACCTTGTCTCAAAAAAAAATAAATAAATAAATAAAATAAAAAATAAAAAAATCGTGAATAGTGTTGCGATGAATAAAAAAGAAAAAAAATTAAAAAGAAAGAAAACCCAGAAAAACTAACATACCATTTTCCTCTCAGTTTGGCAAAACTATTAGGAATTAATAACATTTGATGTTAGCAAAGTATGGGGAAATGAACTTTTATCCTCTTATTGAAAATATCTGTTTGTAGCCAGGCATGATGACTTATGCCTGTAATCCCAGCAATTTGGGAGGCCAAGGTGGGAAGATTCCTTGAGGCCAGAAGTTTGAGACCAGCCTGAGTAATAAAGTAAGACCCCATGTCATTAAAAAAAAAAAAAAAAAAAAAAAAAAAGAAGGAAAGACTGCCGGGCGCAGTGGCTCACGCCTGTAATCCCAGCACTTTCAGAGGCTGAGGTGAGCAGAACACTTGATGTCAGGAGTTCAAGACCAGCCTGGCCAACATGGTGAAACCCCACCCCATCTCTACTAAAAATACAAAAATTAGCTGGGCGTGGTGGCGGGCGCCTGTAATCCCAGCTATTCAGGAGGCTGAGGCTGGAGAATCACTTGACCCTGGAGGCGGAGGTTGCAGTGAGCCGAGATCACACCACTACACTCCAGCTTGGACAACAGAGTGAGACTCCGTCTCAAAAACAACAACAACAAAACCCAAAACATCTGTTTAAAGTTTAAGACATGTATACCTGTGAAAGTTGATTACATAAATTGGGTCATTCTTGAAATACTCAACTAAATCAGAGTTGAAGGGCCAGGGGGAAGAAGCATTCGGGGCACACAGCATCTGCTTCAAGAATTAAATTTTCCACAAGTCCAACTGCTGAACCAGCCTTCTGTATCCCTAAGACCAGTTTTACCTAATAGCTGCTAAAATGAACTGCCATGACTCTAAGACTGGTTTTACCTACCACCATCGCTCACCAATCAGAGCTTGCTAGCTCCCACAAGCTCTAGTGTGAATGAGCTTTCTTCCAAAACAGTATGTAATACTGTTCTTTCTCATAAAACCCGGAACCTTCTCTTTTTTTTTTTTGAGATGGAATTTTGCTCTTGTTGCCCAGGCTGGAGTGCAATGGCGCGATCTCGGCTCACTGCAACCTTCACCTCCCGGGTTCAAGCATTTCTCCTGTGTCAGCCTCCTGAGTAGCTGGGATTCAGGCATGCGCCACTATGCCCAACTAATTTTGTATTTTTAGTAGAGACGGAGTTTCTCCATGTTGGTCAGGCTGGTCTCAAACTCCTGACCTCAGGTGATCTGCCCGCCTCGGCCTCCCAAAGTGCTGGGATTACAGGCATGAGCTCTCACACCTGGCCGCAACCTTCCCTTTATTCTCCTGATCATACCAATGATCAGCCCGGTCTGTGTGTATGCCATGAATTGCAGCTCTTGCTTACCAAATAAAATGTTTTTAGAGATTTGTCTCTATATTATATTTGGCTTTGACATAACTATTCCCAAGGAATTCTATCTTTAAAAATCCATTCTTATAGAAATGAAAGCACCAATAAATGGGAATAAGTACGATAATCCACATCGCAGAATTGTTTGTAGTGGCAAAAGTTGCAACATCCTAATTGTCTATGAGTAAGGAAATGATTGAATAAATTACTGTACATCTATACTAAAGTTAAATTTGTAAGTACTGAAGTACAGGCACGGCTATTTTTTTTTTCTTTTTGTGGAAACAGGGTCTCACTCTGTCACCCAGGCTGGAGTGCAGCGGCACCATCTTGGGTCACTGCAACCTCTGCCTCCTGAGTTCAAGTGATCCTCACACCTCAGCCTCCCAAGTAGCTGGGACTACAGGCACGTGCCACCACACCTGGCTAATTTTGGTTTTTGGCTTCTTTCTTAATTGGTATGTTTACTTAAAAATATAGACTAACGGGCTGGGCATGGTGACTTACACCTATAATCCCAGCACTTTGGGAGGCCAAGGCGGGTGGATCATGAGGTCAGGAGATCGAGACCATCCTGGCTAAAACAGTGAAACCCCATCTCTACTAAAAGTACAAAAAATTAGCCGGGTGTGGTGGTGGGCACCTGTAGTCCCAGCTACTCGGGAGGCTGAGGCAGGAGAATGGCGTGAACCTGGGAAGCAGAGCTTGCAGTGAGCCGAGATTGTGCCACTGCACTCCAGCCTGGGCGACAGAGCAAGACTCCATCTCAAAAATAAATAAATAAATAAATAAAATAATAAAATAAAATATAGACTAATGATCCTGTGCTTCAATGTCATTGTGGTTATGTGCTGATGTCCATAAAACATAAGTTATAAGGGACTCTTCACAAATACACTCCAGACAGAAGGGTAAACAGAAATGACTGACAAGACAGTGCCATTTCAGACATACTTCCCTTAATTATTAATACTTGCTAGAAAATGGAGTTTGACATTATTTACAATTATACCAATATTCACAGAGGCCAACTGTCACAGGCATTAAGGGCACACCAGGGCCAGGAGACCTCATTTCAGACTTCCCAAATATTTTTATATTTTAGCTATTAAGATCAGTTACCAGAGCTCAACTTGTTCTTAACAAGCAGAATTTTTATGTCCATTCAAAGAGTCTCTTATACCTTTCTGGGCCTATTTACTTGCAGAGAACAGTAGAAACTGTAACCAGGCTCTTCATATCATGCATTCACATGTGATGTCCAATCTTCATATGCTGTCCAATTTCTTTAAGATAAATGGAGTGACTCGCAGCAGGGCCACGTAGATGAGAAAGTTCTGTATGGAGATCATATCCTCGTGCATCTTCCGTTTCATCTCCGTGAGGTCCAGCTTCCGGGCAAGGCCCCCAATCCGGAAGATCAGCTGCCTCGCTCTGCTCTCCCTAATGGCCCCCTTACACCCGGAACTCGGCCTATCCCCTCGCCCCAGCTAATTTTTGTATTTTTAGTAGAAATGGGGTTTCGCCATGTTGCCCAGGCTGGTCTTGAACTCCTGGGCACAAGGGATCTACCCGCCTTGGTCTCCCAAAGTGCTCAGATTACAGGCATGAGCCACCACGCCTGGCCCAACATGGCTATTATTTTTTAAAGTGCTAAATTATGGCCGGGGGCTGTGACTCACGCCTGTAATCCCAGCACTTTGGGAGGCCGAGGCGGGTGAATCACGAGGTCAGGAGATGGAGACCAGCCTGGCCAACATGGTGAAACCCCATCTCTACTAAGAATACAAAAAATTAGCTGGGCGTGGTGGCAGGCGCCTGTAATCCCATCTACTCAGGAAGCTGAGGCTGGAGAATCGCTTGAACCCGGGAGGCGGAGGTTGCAGTGAGCAGAGATCACGCCACTGCAGTCCAGCCTGGGCAACAGTGCGAGACTCTGTCTCAAAAAAAAAATAAATAAATTACCTGGGTGTGGCAGCGCGTGCCTGTAATCCCAGCTACCCAGGAGGCTGAGGCAAGAGAACTGCTTGAACCCAGGAGGCAGAGGTTGCATGGAGCTGAGATGGCGCCACTGCACTCCAGTCTGGTGACAGAGTGAGACTCCATCTCAAAAAAAAAAAAAAAAAGTGCTAAGTTACATCTAAGTTTCCTATTTTTGTTTAAAAAACTCCTTGTAGTGGGTTGAATGGTGGACCCCAAAATGATACATCTGTCCATCTGATATGCGTGAATGTGACCTATTTGGGAAAACAGTTTTTGTAGATGAAATTAAGGATTTCCAAATGAGATCATCCTAGGTTAGAATGGAACCTAAATCCAACAGCAAAAGTCCTCATAAAAAGAAGGGAAGAAGACAGAAAAGAAGACCACAAAGACAAAGGCAGAGATAGGAGTTATGCTGCCATAAGCCAAGTAATACCTGGAGCCACCAGCAGCTGGAAGAGGAAAGCAAGGATTCTCCCTTGGAGCCTTCAGAGGGAGGTGTGGCCCAGCTGACATCTTGCTCTCAGATTTCTGGCCTCCAGAACTGTGAACAGAAATATTTCTGTTGTTTTAAGCCACTAAGTTTGTGGTAATTTGTTACAGCAGCTCTCAGAATCAAATACATTCCCACACCCCTTATTTATGTGTATGTGTGTGTATGCATGTTTGCATGAGCACTGAGAGAAGTATACCATTATTAACATTGGTTAGTTCAGGGGAATGGGACTGGCTTACTGAAGGCTGAGAGAGTATACGTGTGTGTATATAAATTGAGTGTATTTAAATTAAGTATATGGAAGTAAATTAAGACTACAATGAGATACCACTACCTCCCACCAATATGGTTAAAGATAAAAGGACTGATAATACCTAATGCTGGTATGGAGCAATGGAACCTTCCTTTATTGCTGGTGGTAAAATGGTATGGTCATTAAAAACAAACTAAAACAAAAACAACAAAAATGCAATTGTTTGATGGTACCTACTAAAAAATGTGTGTATGTGTGTGTATAGACACACACCCTATGACCCAGCAATTCCATTCCTGGCATATACTCAGTAGATAGCGTGTTTAAGACCATCATAAGATATATAAAAATGTTACGGTAGCATTATTCATAACAGCCCCAAAGTGGGAGCAATTCAAAGGTCCATGAAATGTAGAGTAACTAAATTATGGTATATTCATATAACAGAATGCTACACAACAGTGAAAAAGGCTGAACTGCTGCATAGCAGCAAAATAGAGAATTCTTTTAGACGTAACGTTGAGCAAATCAAGCTAGGCTCACTACAGCACATACCGTGTGATCCCATTTACAAAAAATTCAAAAACAGGCAAAACTAATCTATGGTGATAATCAGATGGGAGGCATTATCTAAGAGGGTGCTGGAAATGTCCTTTATTGTGATCTGAACATAGTATTCATATACGAGTCATTGAAATATACATTTCAAATGCTGGCTGTTTATTATCATTTCACTGGGATAAATGCCCAAGGAGTTAGTTTTCAAAGAGATGCTATTTAGAATTTATGGAAATTTAGAACTTACTGTATTTTCCCAGATTTTCTATAATGAGCAAGCATTGCAGTTTGAGGGTTTGAAAGATTGGTAGAGACAAAAACTGCATAAGCTGCATGATTATTTCTCACACTTCAGATGCTTACCACCTTTATGATTTGCCATATCATGTATTTTAAAAAATACATTTTTTTCTTTTTTTAGATGGAGTCTCATTCTGTCACCCAGGCTGCAGTGCAGTGGTGTGATCTCAGCTCACTGCAACCTCCTGGGTTCAAGTGACTCTCCGGCCTCTGCCTCCCGAGTAGCTGAGATTACAGGCACCCATCACAATACCTGGCAAATTTTTGTATTTAAAAATACAGCCAGGCTCGGTGGCTCACGCCTGTAATCCCAGCACTTTGGGAGGCCAAGGCTGGCGGATCACCTGAGGTCAGGAGTTCGAGACCAGCCTGACCAACATGGTGAAACCCCGTCTCTACTTAAAATACAGAATTAGCTGGGCGTGGTGGCTCATGCCTGTAATCCCAGCACTTTGGGAGGCCAAGGTGGGTAGATTGCCTGAGGTCAGTTCGAGACCAGCCTGACCAATATGGTGAAACCTCATCTCTACTAAAAATACAAAAATTAGCTGGGCATGGTGGTATGCTCCTGTAGTCCCAGCTACTCAGGAGGCTGAGGTGGGAGAATTGTTTGAATTCGGGAGGTGGATGTTGCAGTGAGCTGAGATCGCGCCACTGCACTCCAGCCGGGCGACAGAGCGACACTCCGTCTCAAAAAAACAAAAACATACAATTTTAAAAATTTAGTCTTAGCTTTTCAATAAGAGGGATTAAAATATATTATTTTAGTCTGCTCAGCATCCATTCTCCCTTCCTTTTGGCAAAGAACCCTAAATTTTTTGGGGGATGATATAGTTTGGCTGTGTCCCCAACCCAAATCTCATCCTGAATTGTAGCTCCTATAATTCCCATGTGTCATGGGAGGGACCTGGTGGGAGGTAATTGAATCATGGGGGTGGTTACCTTCATGCTGTTCTCATGATAGTGAGTGAGTTCTCAGGAGATCTGATGGTTTCATAAGGGGCTTTTCCCCTTTTGCTTTGCACTTCTCCTTCCTGCCATCATGTGAAGAAGGATGTATTTGCTTCCCCTTCTGCCATGATTGTAAGCTTCCTGAGGCCTCCCCAGCCATACACAACTGTGAGTCAATTAAACCTCTTTCCTTTATAAATTATCCAGTCTCGAGTATGTCTTTATTATCAGCATGAGAACGGACTAATACAGGGGACCACCTACTCCTTACTAGAGTTGGTTTTACCATCAACTTGCCCTCCTCTTGCTGAGGGATGGGTACCTAACCCATGTAACTTCAGTTGGAGGCACTCCAAGTGACATAAAAACTAAATATACATGTCAGAAGTTCAACCTGATATCAGCACCGTAAGAAAAAAAAACAAAAACAAACACCTCATAACACCTACTCTTAAGATACCTGAAACTGTTACAATTCTTGACCTTTCCAAAGCCTTGAGTCCTCAACTTTTCCATGACTCTGGAGTCTCTCATTCTTTCAAATAAGATTTTTATCAGTAAGTTCATTAATCTGATCCTGTTGCTTGCAACCAAAAATTCCAATATATCATGAAATCAGGTTAGATGTGGTTATATTACTTCAAGTATATACTAACCCATTTCCCGTTTGCCCCAAGAATACTCTTGCCTCTAATCCTAATGTAACATTATATACATTTCCATTATATTAGGATTAGAGACAAGTTCTGTTTAGAAATAACTCTAAGAACAGTTTGTGTATTTTCACATTGAAAATTAATTTGCGTCAACCTCAGAGTGTGTTTATGTAAAATTAAATGAGCGCTGGCAGCCAGCTGCACTTTTTTTTTCTTTTTTTCTTTTTTTTTTTTTTGAGACGGAGTCTCACTCTGTCGCCCAGGCTGGAGTGCATGGAGTGCAGTGGCATGATCTCGGCTCACTGCAAGCTCCGCCTCTCGGGTCTATGCCTTTCTCCTGCCTCAGCCTCCCGAGTAGCTGGGACTACAGGCGCCTGCCACCATGCCCGGCTAATGTTTTGTATTTTTAGTAGAGACGGGGTTTCACCATGTTAGCCAGGACGGTCTCGATCTCCTGACCTCGTGATCCACCCACCTCGGCCTCCCAAAGTGCTAGGATTACAGGCGTGAGCCACGGCGCCTGGCCACTTTTATTTTCTAAACAGGAAATGGGTTAAATACGTAACTCTGTATGAAATATCCATTCATAAGCTACCCTAACAGCCCCCTTGAGTGGTATAAGGCTACAGTCTTTGACCAAAAAAAAAAGTATTTGACAAAAACTTATGTCATGTGATATATGTTCATAAAAGGCAAGTATTTAATAGGATTATGTCAATTATAGCCAGGCTGGTAGGTAAATTTCTTTTAAATACCAAGGCTCAGCCAGACTGCTGCAAGGAAGTGTTCCAGAACTTATGTACCAGCAAGCAGTCTTGTCCAAGTGGTAAAACAGCAAGAGTAGTATGTGGAATGGAAATTCGGTTTGTATGTTTTTTTTTTTGTTTTTTTTTTGAGACAGAGTCTTGTTCTGTTGCTCAGGCTAGAGTGCAGTGGTGCAGTCTCGGCTCACTGCAACCTTTGCCTCCCAGAGTCAAGAAATTCTCTTGCCTCAGCCTCCCAAGTAGTTGGGATTACAGGCGCCCACCACCACGCTTGGCTAATTTTTGTATTTTTAGTAGAGACGGGGTTTCACCATGTTGGCCAGGCTGGTCTTGAACTCCTGACCTCAGGTGATCTGCCCACCTCAGCCTCAGCCTCCCAAAGTGCTGGATTATAGGCATGAGCCACCATGCCCGGCCTTGTTTTTTATTTATTTATTTCTTTGAGATGAAGTCTTGCTCTGTCACCCAGACTGGAGTGCAGTGGTGCAATCTCGGCTCACTGAAATCTCCACCTCCCGGGTTCAAGCGATTCTCCTGCCTCAGCCTCCCAAGTAGCTGGTATTACAGGCACACACCACCATACCTGGCTAATTTTTGTATTTTTAGTAGAGACGGGTTTCACCATATTGGCCAGGCTGGTCTTGAACTCCCGACCTCGTGATCCGCCCGCCTTGGCCTCCCAAAGTGCTAGGATTACAGGCACCTTTTTAAAATTATTATATTGAGACAGGGTGTCACTTTGTCACCCTGGCTGGAGTGCAGTGGCATGACCTTGGCTCACTGCATCCTCAACTTCCCAGACTCAAACCATCCTTCCACCTCAGTCCCCCAAGTAGCTGGGACTACAGGTGTGCACCACCACATCTGGCTAATTTTTGTGCTTTTTGAGGAGATGGGGTTTTGTCATGTTGCCCAGGCTGGTCTCAAACTCCTGGCCTCAAGCGATCCTCCCACCTCAGCCTCCCAAAGTGCTGAGATTACAAATGTGAGCTACTGCACCTGGCCGTGTATTTCTACAAAAGTTATGTTATAATCAAATTTGAAAATCTCAACTTTTCCAAGCAAATGATCCAATAGCAGGCTATTTATAAACTTTTAATGTGCATTAGTTACTGCTATGTAAAAGTTTTTTTGTTTTTAAGAAGTGAAGGTGTGAAAAAAACAAACCTGTAGTAAGTTTCATGTCTTTTGGAAATTTATAGGGAAGTACATTTGAGCATACACATTGTCATTCTCCTTTTCTCAGTGACAGTTTTATGACTTGGCCATCTCTAAAGATAATATATTCCAATATGTAATTGCTATATAGCAAATACATTAGCTGATGAAGTTGTAGGAGGCAATGTAATAAATGTTCTTACTCAGCTTTGGTCTAACAGATAACTATGACTGACAATTTCGTAAAAATAACAGACCAAGTGTTTTTGAGAGAGAGAGAGAGAGAGAGAGAGAGAGAGAGAGAGAGAGTGTGTGTGTGTGTGTGTGTGTGTGTGTGTGTGTGTGTATGTTTTGAGACAGGGTCCCACTCTTATCACCCAGGGTGGAGGGCAGTGGTGCAATCTCGGCTCACTGCAGCCTTGACCTTCTGGGTTCAGGTGATCCTCCCACTTTAGCCTCCCAAGTAGCTGGGACTACAGGCGTGCACCACCACACCCACCTAATTTTTTTTTTTTTGGTAGAGATGAGGTTTTTCTGTGTTGCCCAGGCTGGTCTCAAACTCCTGAGCTCAAATGACCCACCTGCCTCGGCCTCCCAAAATGCTGGGATTACAGGCGTGAGCTATTGTGCCCAGCCTATATAAAAATTTTTTAAGTTTTTGGAAAATGTCAGAAATCAACGTTTCCTTTTAGCCCTATTTTCAAAAACTGGCTAGTTTGATAAATGGATCACAATTTCTTACACATGCTACTAATAGAAGAGGCATTCAAAAATAAATGACTGATGGCCAGCGAGTGGATAACTTGAGATCAGGAGTTCGAGACCAGCCTAGCCAAGATGGTGAAACCCCATCCCTACTAAAACTACAAAAAATTAGCCAGGCACGGAAGTGGAGGTTGCAGTGAGCGGAGATCGCACCATTGCACTCCAGCCTGGATGACAAAGCGAGACTCTGTTTAAAAAAAAAAAAAAAGTAACTGATAAAACTGACCACAGTGTATCTTGGGCAGTAATGGCTGCTGCTTCTCATTTTCAGCAGGACTTAATGAAAATTGCTAATGATAACGCACTACCTCCTAAGAATGATGCAAAATACGATTTTTGATGTTTAAAGGGAGGGTTCCATGGAGTTTGGTATTTTCCAAATTATATTCTAAATCTGGTACTATCTCACCTAATAATTTTATCTTTCTTTAGCAACAAGCCCTAACAATATCCAAACTAAATAAAATCATTACATGAATTTACTTTTTACAATTATTCTCCTAAGGCTGGGCGTGGTGGCTCATGCCTGTAATCCCAGCACTTTGGGAGGCCGAGGTGGGCGGATCACCTGAGGTCAGAAGTTCGAGACCAGCCTGACCAACATGGAGAAACCCCGTCTCTACTAAAAACACAAAATTAGTCGGGCGTGGTGGCTCATGCCTGTAATCCTAGCTACTCGGGAGGCTGAGGTGGGAGAACCCGGGAGGCAGAGGTTGCGGTGAGCCAGTATCACGCCACTGCACTCCAGTCTGGGCAACAAGAGCGAAACTCCGTCTCAAAAAAAAATAATAATAATAATAATAATAATAATTAAAATTATTCTCCAGGGATGGGCATGGTGGCTCATATCTGTAATCCCAGCACTTTGGGAGGCCGAAGCAGGCAGATCATTTGAGATCAGGAGTTTGAGACCAGGTTGGCTAACATGGTGAAACCCTGTCTCTACTAAAAATACAAAAAAACTAGCTGGGTGTGGTAGTGCACGCCTGTAATCCCAGCTACTTGGGAGGCTGAGGCAGGAGAATTGCTTGAACCCGGGATGCAGAGGTTGCAGTCAGCCGAGATTGTGCCACTGTACTCCAGCCTCAGCAACAGAGCAAGCAAGACACAGTCTCAAAAAAAAAAAAAAAAAAAAAAAAAAAAGCTATTCACCTGTATTTTCCCTTAGTATCCTATAATTGACCTGTTTCCCTCTTTATAAGTTCAGCTACTTTTAGTTACCTTAACTATACCACATGGTGGTGTCATGATTGGTGTCAATGTATTGCATATATATATATATTACAATATACCACATGATAGGTGTCAATATACTCCAACAATTAGACTTAATTTTCTTCCTCTCCGATAATTTTTCCGCCTGCTTTGAGGAAACATCTGGTCATATTGCAGTTAAAAATCAAACCTCTTAACAATAAATTTATTTAATTAAATGCCATAAAAATTAATCAAGAATGGCCAGGCATGGTGGCTCACGCCTGTAATCCCAGCACTTTGGGCAGAGGTGGAAGGTGGCTCACTTGAGCTCAGGAGTTGGAGACCAGCCTGGGCAACATGGCAAAACCCCTATCTCTACCAAAAATATAAAAATCAGCCTGACGTGGTGGCATGCGCCTGTAGTCCCAACTGCTTGGGAGACGAGACTGAGGCAGGAGGATCACTTGAGCCCAGGAGGTTGAGGCTGCAGTGAGCCACGTTCGTGCCACTGCACTCAGCCGGGGTGACAAGGCGAGATCCTGCCTCAAAAAAAAAAAAAAAAAGTACTAATGATTGATTACAAACTAGAGATCTTCCTTATTCTAATATCCATTTTATTTTGGAAACGTAGCTTTCCCTCGATTTATAAGAATTAAAAGGTCTAAAGTTCTTCCATTCCACAGGATAAACTAAAGAAATTATTCATTTAAAAAAAAAGGCAAAGAAAAGAGCTTAAAGCATGAAAAGTTTTTTTGTACTTATGGCTTATTAGTCTGTGTAGAAATTCTGGAGACAGAATTACAGAAACCAGGCCCACAAAGAATCTTTGTGGTACAATCAGATTTCTTTATTATTTCTTTTATTAGAATGTAACTTAAGCTACTTAATTTTTGCCTTTGTGACTACCATCATAGAATATTCTGAAGACTAAAGTTAACCAAAGATCCAGAACAATGTTTTAATTTAATGAAAAATCTAGGCTAATATGAAGATAGAAACTCAGGCTAAAAAACTTCAGCCGGGTGGGATGGCTCACGCCTGTAATCCCAGCTCTATGGGAGGCCAAGAAGGGTGGATCACCTGAGGTTAGTAGTTTGAGACCAGCCTGGCCAAAATGGTGAAACCCCATCTCTTCTAAAAACACAAAAATTAGCCGGGCGTGGTGGCGGGCGCCTGTAGTCCCAGCTCCTCAGGAGGCTGAGGCAGGAGAATCGCTTGAACTCAGGTGGCGGAGGTTGCAGTGAACCGAGATGGCACTGCTGCGCTCTAGCCTGGGCGAGAGAGCAAGACTCTGTCTCAAAAAAAAAAAAAACACCCCACAAAAACCCAAAAAACTTCCTGGTTGTCGAATTCAGTATTAGACACAAAAAATTCTAGCCTATTTATGGGTGGTACCACTGGTAAGAGACAAATCACAAGATATTGTGTTAGGCTAACTTCAAGATCTGTCCATTCAGATAGTGGTTGACATATTGGGTGATCAGAAAAATTTGTTAAATTGCATTATGTGAAAAATCAAGTATTTGTAGAATACTTTAAGTTATTCTATTTACTACTACAATGGCATTTTTATTCTCTCTGACATAGTTTTGTGTTTACTTCAGAGTGCAGCAAGGTCTCAAACCTTAATTTCTCTAGGTTACATATTTCCAAATTTATAACTACCATCAAGACTCAAGTTTTAGAAGAGGCTGAGAACAGAAAATATGGTACTCATTCCAAAAAATGTTAAAGCTATAAGTAGAACTGAGACCTCAGTTTACATCCACTTAGTTTCTATTCCAGTGGTTTGAAGTATCTGTTGTAAATTGTTCAAGCAAGCTTTGTAAGTTGATTTTTTTTTTTTTTTGAGGCAGAGTCTTGCTTTGTTGCCCAGGCTGGAGTGCAGTGGTGCAATATCTGCTGACTGCAACCTCTGCCTTGGGTTCAAGCGATTTTCCTGCCTCAGCCTCCCGAGTAGCTGAGATTACAGGCATGTGCCACCACACACCTGGCTATTTTTTTTTTTTTTTTTTTTTTTGTATTTTTAGTAAAGATGAGGTTTCATCATGTTGGTCAGGCTGGTCTCAAACTCCTGACCTCAAGTGATCCGCCCGCCTCGGCCTCCCAAAGTGCTGGGATTGTGGGCATAAGCCACCGCACCTGGCCCTTTAACTTGATTTCAAAGCAAAATTATACAAATGGACCCTAACTTCTATTATATATTTAAGTTTACTTCAAAGATCTACTTTATCCTTATCCTTAGAAACTGTGAGGAAAAAAAAACTATGTTAACAAAGCTGATGACAAAGATTCTTTATTATATAAGAGATCCTATTATCTGATCATATTACCTAATAAATTATATATGAATGTTCAATAATAAAAATAATGTTCACCAATATGTCACATGCATGGTTAGTGTTTTATTCTTTGAAGACTGCTTCTAAAACATCGCACTAAGTAAAGCTGAAAGGATAAAGTTTAAAATAGTTTTTAAAGGATAAGTTATAACATATGTAATGACTGTCCACTCTACAAAATCTTGATCTTAGAGCTTATGATACACCCAGTTGGCAGTAGCACCCAGGTTTTCCAAATAGCCAGTCATCACTTTTCTCTTGTCTGCATAGACTTCTTCTCATTAGCTGCCTTCTGCTTTTCTTGCATGATCTCAGAGTCCCTACAATGAGGGAAAAGTCTATAAGTTGTTACAGAAAAACCAATTATATATTCTCACTTGGTTTCTACACATAACCCATTCAGTGTATTAGAAGACAATTTAAAAGAGGATATAAACTTTTTTGTCTTTCCATTTTCATGGCTGGAGACAAAATGGAAAGACAGACTGGAAAGGCTTTGAAGTCAGATCTTATTCTGAATACCATCTCTGTTATCATGACCTTGGGCAAATAACCTCAAAGCCCTTTCAAAATCCGGGCAATATGTATCAAGGTTGTTACAAGGAATCACTATGAATATATAAAAGTGTGTGACATTAGGCAGCTACATGTAGAAATAATAGCTATTACTCTTGGTTGTTAACTAGTTAATTCATTCTAATTTTTTTCCTTGAAAGAAGAGGCATTTAAGAACTCTCCTAGGTATCCTAACTGGTATCTACGACTAGAACATAGATATTATGAAGGATTTCAGTTTCTTACAAGCAAAAAAGCCCAAAAGCTAGTCACTAAAACTGGATTACAATAAAGAAAAGCTGGATGTTCAGGGTACTTTTTTTTTTTTTTGAGACGGAGTCTCGCTTTGTCCCCCAGGCTGGAGTGCGGTGGAACGATCTTGGCTCACTGCAACCTCCACTTCCTGCTTGCAGTTCTTCTGCCTCAGCCTCCTGAGTAGCTGGGACTACAGGCATGCGCCACCACACCCGACTAATTTTTGCATTTTAAGTAGAGACGAGGTTTCACCATATTGGCCAGGCTGGTCTCGAACTCCTGACCTTGTGATCCGCCTGCCTCAGTCTCCCAAAGTGCTGGGATTACAGGTGTGAGCCACTGCGCCCAGCCCTTAACCCTTCTCATCTCCAGTCAAACTGACACATGCCATATAAACTGTGAACTATGACCAGACTACCTGGGTTAGGTGATTCATGAGTCCATGGACCCATATTTTAAAAACAGACTAAACGGCCATGCATTCAACATCTACTGTGTGTCAAGCACTCTACCAGCTCTGGTTAAAGTCCCACAACTCTGACTTATTAACCTCATGTTTCAAACTTTTTAATTTTTTATTTATTTTTTTGAGACAGAGTCTTGCTCTGTTGCCCAGGCTGCAGTGCAGTGGCACAATCTTTGCTCACTGCAACCTCCACCTCCCTGGTTCAAGCGAGTCTCCTGCCTCAGTTTCCCAAGTAGCTGGGATTACAGGCATGTGCAACCAAGCCCACCTAATTTTTGTATTTTTAGTAGAGACAGGGTTTCACCATGTTGGCCAGGCTTGTCTCGAACTCCTGGCCTCAAGTTGATCCGCTCGCCTCGGCCTCCCAAAGTGCTGGATTTACAAGTGTAAGCCACTGAGCCTGGCCTGTTTTAACTTTTTGAGGAAATGCTAAACTGATTTCCACAGCCATGATGGTAAGATATTTCTGTAAAGCCAATAGCAAAAACAAGGGAATAGAAGAAAGGCAAAATAGGCCAGTGGCTCACATCTGTAACCCCAGCACTTTGGGAGGCTGAGATAGGCGGACCACCTGAGGTCGAGAGTTTGAGACCAGACTGAGCAACATGGAGAAACCCTATCTCTACTAAAAATACAAAATTAGCCAGGCATGGTGGTGCATGCCTGTAATCCCAGCTACTTGGGAGGCTGAGGCAGGAGAATCACTTGCACCCGAGAGGTGGAGGTTGCGGTGAGCTGAGATTGCGCCATTGTACTCCGCCTGGGCAACAAGAGCGAAACTCCGTCTCAAAAACATAAAATAAAATAAAATAAAATAAAAATAAAGAAGAAAGGCAAAATAACACAGCTACAGGCTGTTCTGCCTATAAAGTAGCCAATATTTATTTCTTTACTTTCCTAATAAACTTGCTTTCACTAAAACAAAAACAAAAACATAGCTATAAAGAAATGAAGTACAGTGGAAAAAGAACCATGACAGTTACTTCTCTATTTGAAACCAAGCTCTGTTGTGCTTGCTGTGTAACTTTAGTAATGTTACTGAAGTTCAGAGCCTCAGTTTCCTATTCTACAGATTAGTGCTAATACCATTTTTCAGAGTTATGATGAATAAAGAATAATGTATATAGAATGTCTAGCATAGAATTTTATAAGGAGTGCATATCTGGTAAACAATGACAATTTCTGAACCAAGCTAGACTAGGTTCTCCAATAAAAATACTATTGCAGGGTCACTGATTCATACCATGTTCATTTTTACTCTAATGTGAGTCAACAGAAATTGAAGACAAAGCTTATCACTTTAATAATAAATGTTAGGGCCGGGCATAGTGGCTCACACCTGTAATTCCAGCACTTTGGGGGACTGAGGTGGGCAAATCACTTGACCCCAGAAGTTCAAGACCTGCCTGGACAACATGATGAAACCCCGTTTCTACAAAAAATATAAAAACTATCTGGGCTTGGTGGTGTGCCCTTGTAGTCCCAGCTACTCAGAAGGCTGAGGTGGGAGGGTCACTTGAGCCTGGGAGGCAGAGCTTGCAGTGAACCGAGACTGTGGCACTGCACTCCAGTCTGGGTCACAGAGTAAGACGCCATATCTGGGAAAAAAAAAAAAAAGGTGTCAGGACCTTTGCCTTAAATTAAGGTCTTTAATCTCATTTATCAATGACTCTTAATAGTGGCTGCACATTAGAATCACCTGGGAGCTGTTTTAAGTTCAGTTTAAGGTATAACTGGGTGTGCTGGGAGGCTGGGGGAGGGATAGCATCAGGAGAAATACCTAATGTAAATGATGAGTTGATGGGTGCAGCAAACCAACATGGCACATGTATATCTATGTAACAAACCTGCACGTTGTGCATATATACCCTAGAACTTAAAGCGTAATAATAAAAAAAAAATTCAAAAAAAAAAAAAAAAGGTATAACTGGGCCAGCGTGGTGGCTCACGCCTGTAATCCCAGCACTTTGGGAGGCCGAGGCGGGTGGATCACTTGAGGTCAGTAGTTTGAGACCAGCCTGGCCAACACGGTGAAACCCAGTCTCTACTAAAAATACAAAAATTAGCTGGGCATGGTGGCGGACGCCTGCAATTCCAGCTACTTGGATTGCTGACGCAGGAGAATCGCTTAAGCCCAGGAGGTGGAGGTTGCAGTGAGCCGAGATCACGCCACTGCCCTCCAGCATGGGCAACAGAATAAGACTCTGCCTTTAAAAAAAAAAAAAAGGCATAACCTAAGTACAGTAAAATTTACCTAGGGTGCTTTTTAATGCTCGACCTCTGACCAATTAAATCAGAACTGGATGAAAGATAAATGTTTGAGCATAGAGATATCCCAATTACCCCGATTTGATCATTACACATTGTACACATAAAGGTTTTTTTTTTTTGACGGAGTCTCGCTCTGTCGCCCAGGCTGGAGTGCGGTGGCGCGATCTCAGCTCACTGCAAGCTCCGCCTCCCGGGTTCACGCCAGTCTCCTGCCTCAGCCTCCCGAGTAGCTGGGACTACAGGCGCCCGCCACTGCGCCCGACTAATTTTTTGTATTTTTAGTACGGACAGGGATTCACCGTGGTCTCGATCTCCTGACCTCGTGATCTTCCTGCCTTGGCCTCCCAAAGTGCTGGGATTACAGGCATGAGCCATCGCGCCCGGCCGGAGTTTCACTCTTGTTGTCCAGGCTGGAGTGCAATGGCGAGATCTCAGCTCACCGCAACCTCCGCCTCCCAGGTTCAAGTGATTCTCCTGTCTCAGCCTGCCGAGTAGCTAGGATTACAGGTGTTCGCCACCACAGTTGGCTTTTTTTTTTTTTGAGACGGAGTCTCGCTCTGTCACCCAGGCTGGAGGGCAGTGGCACGATCTCGGCTCGCTGCAAGCTCCGCCTCCCGGGTTCACGCCATTCTCCTGCCTCAGCCTCCCAAGTAGCTGGGACTACAGGCGCCTGCCACCTCGCCCGGCTAAGTTTTGTATTATTAGTAGAGACGGGGTTTCACCGTGTTAACCAGGATGGTCTCGATCTCCTGACCTCGTGATCCGCCCGCCTGGGCCTCCCAAAGTGCTGGGGTTACAGGCGTGAACCACCGCGCCCGGCCACACACTTGGCTAATTTTGTATTTTTAGTAGAGATGGGGTTTCTCCATGTTGGTCAGAATGGTCTTGAGCTCCCAACCTCAGGTAATCCACCCGCTTCGGCCTCCCAAAGTGCTGGGCTAACAGGTATGAGCCACCACGCCAAGCCAGTTTCTTTTTGTTGTTGTTTTTTTGAGACAGGGTCTCACTCTGTCACCCAGGCTGGAATGCAATGGCAGGATCTCGGCTCACTGCAACCTCCGCCTCCCAGGTTCAAGTGATTCTCCTGCCTTAGCCTCCCAAGTGGCTGGGACTACCCAGCCCACATACAGGTATTAAAAGATCACATGTACCCCCAAAATATGTACAACTATTGTAATTCAATTTTTTAAAAAAACAAAAAATCAAAACTGAGCATAACGCAAGGCTTGAGTAGCTGTCAAGGTTTCCCAGGTGATTCTAATGTGCAGCCAGGATTGAGAACCCCTAACAAGCCACACTGAAGCACATGCAGTCAGTTATTCGCTTAACCTCCAAGTTCCATATGGACAAAATCATTTGAGAATAAAATTAAGCTTTGATTAGCTCTTTTAGAAACATGAGTGTACTTTTTTTTACTTAAGCTGCAGTCTAAAGTATTTCTGTAGCAGTTTTACATTGGCACATATAGTCATATATTAAGGCTATGCACATGAATTCTCTCCAATGCAATGGATCTTCAGAAATCAGCACAGCTAGCTATTATGCATATACTTTTTTGTATCTTCTTGAGAACTATTATCATTATATATTAATAATTGAGTCCCTTGTCATTCAGAGTAGTTTGGGTAGGCTGTCTACTTTGAAAATGTTGTAACTCTAGCACCTCACAGTGTTTTGCATATAGAAGATGTTATTTTGCTGAATAAAGTTGTTTTTTTTTGTTTTGTTTTGTTTTTTTGATACAGAGTTTCCCGCTCAGTACCCAGGCTGGATTGCAATGGCACAATCTTCACTCGCTGCAACCTCCCCCTCCCGGTTTCAAGCGATTCTCCTGCCTCAGCCTCCCAAGTAACTGGGATTACAGGCATGTGCCACTGCACCCAGCTAATTTTGTATTTTTAGTAGAGATAGGGTTTCACTATGTTGGTCAGGCTGATCTCGATCTCCTGACCCCAGGTGATCCACCCACCTTGGCCTTCCAAAGTGCTGAGATTACAGGCGTGAGCCACCGCGCCCAGCCTATAAAAAGTTCTTATGGTTGTGGAGGAGCTGCATGAGTCTCTGTGAAACAAATAATAGCTTCAGAGCTTTACGTTTTTATCTATATGTTGGGATGTCTACCCCACGTGGTTTTAGTCCGCCTGGCACAAATCATTAGGCCCTGTTCTACCAAGGGCTTAACAAAATGCTTTCTGTTCCCCAAAATGAGGCCTTCTTTTTTTTTTTTTTTTTTTTTTTTTTTGAGACAGGGTCTAACTCTGCCATCCAGGCTGGAGTGCAGTGGTGCAATCGCAGCTTACTGCGGCCTTAACCTCCTGGGCTCAAGCGATTCTCCCGCCTCAGCCTCCAGAGTAGCCGAGACCACAGCCATGTGCTACCATGCCTGGCCAATTTAAAAAAATATTTTGTAGATACAGGGGCTGGCTATGTTGTCCAAGTTGGTCTCAAACTCTTGGCTTCAAGCAGTTCTCCCGACTCTCCCAAACTGCCGGGATTACAGGCATGAGGCAACACACCCAGCCCAAAATGTTGCTTCAATCACAACGTCAGTGACTTTAGAATTAAATTAGTACCACGTACCTCTGCTTTCTCTGAGAGGCAGTCAAGCTATCCTCTTTCCTCTTTCCCTTGCTAATTTCCTGGGTTTTCTTCATGTTTTTCTGGCGGGCAAGTTCTCGTTGATTTCCACCTACAAAGTCAAACAGTCATGCTCTTTTCCCATCTCCAAAATTATTAATAATTCCAATAAACAGGCCTTATTTAAATGCATCTTTAGTTTGTGTTTTCATAGATAAACTAGCAGAGTAACAGATTGATGGTGCTCCTAGATCTGACAATAAGGAAGTGGCTTAAACACTTAAAGACTTAAGAGTATTATCATACCAATCTAGGTGGTCACTAGCTATAAATACCAGATATTTTAAAACAGATATTCGAATCTTGGGCCGGTATCCCAAAATAAGTTCTGGCTTTTGAGGGGAGTGGGTGGAAGAGAAAGCTAGATACAGAGATCACAAGTTCAGCCCATCACTTGAGAGTTACCTTTATCCCCATGCAGAGGCGGAGAGGGGTGGATGGAGACTGAACAGATTGAAGGTAAGTCTGCGAAAGGCAGTGTGGGCCTTTACATCCTTATTCTAGCCACAACCCTGCAAGGTAGGCTTCATTGTTTTCATTTTGCAGAACAGACTGACCTAACACCTAGGACTGGTACAAACGAACATCAAATTTAGGACCGGCTCTAAAGCCTCCTGTTTATTCGGCTACTACCTGCGAGCGCCAAACAAAAGAACTAGGGAGGCGACTCACTGGAGTTCCCGGTCCTCATTAGGCCTTAAGACTTGAGGTATCAGCTATAAAGTACCTCCAAACAAGGACCCTCCTGGGGCGGCCGTGTCCACATCTCCGGGGTGTGTTCTTTACCGCACAAACTCGCACCTGAGGGGCAGGCACCCGTCCGGCCTGAAAAGCCGGACCGGAACCACCCGCGAGCTCTCTCTCTGCCGACTGAAGCGGGGATCCCCGCACTGCGCGACCCAGGGGGATTCTCCAGCCGGACTCCGCCTCCCCCGCCCGCCGCGCCTCAGCGCTAGGCTCCCACGCCGGACGCTCGCCGCCGCTTCCCACCCCCACTCACGGGCCATGCCGACCACCAACGGAGCCTGGAAGAAGAGCAACTCGGAAAAGCAACGGTTCTCTGGCACTCTGGGATACCGTCACCACCGCTGACCGGGAAGGCTGAGCCCTCGTGGGCCCTCCGCCCGGCTGCGCCTCCGCTCTGCTCCGCCAACGGCCCCGCCCGCTGGAGGCCCGACAACAGCCGCCGGCATGGCCGGCGCGTCACTGCGCGTGCGCGGCCGGGGCTGGGCCGGGGCTCCGAAGCTCGGCCGGGGCTCCGAGCTTGTTGAATTACATTTCCCTCATGCTACATTAGCACTAATTTTAAAAGGGATATACAATATGTATATCTCTATTATGTGATAAGTTAAGCTGTTGTATTCTGAAATTTAAAAGCATTATTTTCAGTGAAAAAAACCACACAAATAGAAATGTGTACAAAAAACTCACTGAATGATATTTCTTTAATAGTAAAGGCACAATATGTCAAAACCTCCTCTTTCCTTTTTGCAACGATGTAGAACTGCAAAGTTAGCTAATGTCATCTCCTAATTAAACAAAATCAACTGTGAGAAAATTAAACTGATTGCTTCACAATTACGGTTGAGCAAACACTCAGTTTGTCCCTATTTCATCTCCTGCTTTAGATCTTTGAGAAATTTCCCATTGTTTTGCTTCCTTAGATTTACAGGGAAGAATATCTTAATATTCTTTAATGAACTTGCATTTGTAGCATCTATACTAATGTTACATCAACTAGGCCTTATGCATACATATTTATAACTTAAAATATTCTGCACAAATATGATATATTTTAAAGTCTATACCTCTTATAAGTATTATCTTTTCTGCTGAAATTCAAGGCTATCAAATAAGTGTATGTTTTTAGAGTTGTACAGTGAGATTTGAAAGCAGTCATGATATAATCACTGTAATTTTTTTAATTAAATGGTGGCAGATAGGCCAGATAAATTGCGGGAAAGGGTCAGATAAATGATGTTATGAATGAGGTAAACTTTTATCATATTTTGTATTATTTGTTATCTATGCTTCTGTTTACATAGCAGGATGACTCTATTGCATTCTGTCATTAACACTGATTTGTCCATATCAGTGCAAGTGAAATCTGCCCTACCCTAAATGAACCAGTTATTTCTAACCTACACCATCAAGAAAAGGTTATGTCTATCAACCTCCATTACATATTATATAGAATATACACAATATACATTCTAGATATATGAAGTCTTTGCATACATCTGAGTTATGCGTATGAGTATACATTTATATATACTTATATATATGTTTAAGATATATATTTCTGAGGATCCATATATGTCAGTGAACATGTACTCAATGAACTTTCATTATTGTGCAAACATAAACAGTGCAGTGTTATGGGATATTCCAACCAATTATAAGATCAAATCTCTTCACTTATTCTATTTGTTTTTGTTGTTATTGTTGTTGCTTTTTGAGACGGAGGAGTCTTGCTCTGTCACCCAGGCTGGATGGAGTGCAGTGGCGTGATCTCAGTGCACTGCAGCATCCGCCTCCTGGGTTCAAGCAATTCTTCTTCTTCAGCCTCCCAAGTAGCTGAAATTACAGGTGCGTGCCACCACACTTGGCTAATTTTTGCATTTTTAGTAGAGATGGGTTTTCACCATGTGGGCCAGGCTGGGTTTGAACTCCTGACCTAAAGTGATCTGCCTGCCTCAGCCTCCCAAAGTGCTGGGACTACAGGTGTGAGCCACTGCATCCAGCCTCTATTTGTTCATTTTTATAAGGCAATTTCTCACTCAAGATGTAGAATCCCTTTTCTTTTCTTACTTCATTATTTTTTTCTAGAAGCCAATGTTAAAAAGAGAAGTGTATTAAGAGACACTTTAAAAAGATGAGATTTACAAAAACATCTTGATAATAAGAAAAAAAACCATATGTCATTTATATCTAAATCAATCAGATACCTTTAAGGCTTGTCTCATAGGATCCTATAACCAGGGTTTTTAAAACTGCTTTATATTAAGAATAGCTAAGAAATGGGAACTTAATCTGCCTTCCTCTTATGAATTCTACACCACAGCCAGTATGAGCTGAGATAATATTAGATACTCTTAATGTTATTGTTCCTGCACCTCATATTCATGAAAATTGCATAGATATTTAGAGAAATCTACATTCCACTAAACATCTATTTATCTATTTATATATGTATTTACAATTTTTGCATTTAAGAATATGCATGCATTCACTCAATGTGATATAGTTAGGCTTTGTGTCCCCACCCAAATCTCATCTTGAATTATTATCTCCGTAATCCCCACCTAGCAAGGGAGAGACCTGGTGGAGGTAATTGAATCATGGGGGTGGTTTGCCCCTTGCTGTTCTTGTGATAGTGAGTGAGTTCTCAGGTTATCTGATGGTTTTATAAGGAGTTCTTCCCCGCTTTGCTCGGCACTTCTTCCTGCCACCTTGTGAAGAAGTTTCCTTGCTTCCCTTTCAACTTCTGCTATGATTTCCTAAGTTTCCTGAGGCCTCCCCAGCCATGCTTAATTGTAATTCAGTTAAACCTCTTTCGTTTATGAATTACACAGTCTCTGGCAGTTCTTTATAGCAGTATGAAAACAAAGTAAAACAGCATGTTTTGACATGTCCGTATAATTTGGTTGACTCACCTGGCCCCTTGCAGTTTGGTATAAATTGTAATACAATTTCCATGTTTATTTATCTCTATCAAATAATGAAAACATGGCATCTGCATTCAGAGATAAAGTTTCTCATTTTTATACAGGCACAAGTTTTACCTAGTAAATAATGTTTAAATAACTTAAAACCAAGTTCTAGTTATACTATCTATTACTCCAATTTGGTCTCAATAAATCACATGAAAGGAAGGTAGATATTGTTATTTTCATCTAAGAGGAAACCCAGTTTGAGAAAAATGAAATAACTTGCTTAAGGTCACAAATCCAGTAAGTAGTGGAGGCTAAACTGAAATCAAGGTTTTCAGGCTCCAAATTCTCTATTTTTGAATGTTATATAACTCAACCAAGTAAATATCATATATTAAGGTAAAAAACATCTTTCACACTTTTATACTACTAAACTCTATTACAATTCTCTATAGAATAACACATGGACATTTTAGCAGTTCTGTAAAACATCAGAGTAAAAGCTTTTCACCTGTAACTCACTGTCAACTGAAAGACAAATTTTACTCTCTTAAAAATAGAAGAAATATCATTTGCAAGTAGAAGAGACAATGATGCACTTTTTCATTTTCTTAACTCAACTGGAATTAAAATTATATTAACTCATCATTTTTCTCTTTCATATCACAAATAACTTATTCTGCTTCTCACTATTGTAATGTGTTTTTTTAAAGTCTAACAACTCTTTCACTTATTTGACAACATTATATTAGAGTTAAAGTTAAAAACATTTTTTCTTTTGATGTTTAAAAATACAATACAAACAATGGAAAATGGAATTTGCATGTCATTGTACGTTGCAGACTCCAAGTGGAATTTGCTAATCACAAATTCCAATAGCATATATATTCTTATATCTCTAGTTGTTAAACTGATCGTTAATAATTAAACTTTTCAAAAATATAGTGTATATTTTAATTATATAAGAATATGTAAATTTTGGATGCAATTAATATTTAAACCATTAATCTGCACTTCAATAATACAGAGTTGACTCTTTTGAGATAAAAGTCAGCCAGGATTACAAACTCTAGTAGTATTTTTTAATAAATAAAAAATATTGAAGAAACAGCTTTGTTTTCCAATCCCTAGTTTTCTTCATTTGGTAAATAAATGTTTGCTGAACATGTATAAAATGTCAAGTATTGTGTGTGCTTTGATAGTTATGTATAAGCATGAGATATGAACTGTTCATAGAATATTAATCTTTTTTGCATATTTGCTTATTTCATGTTCTTTTTTCAGTAAGACTTTGTGCCTTATAATTGCATATAACCCAACAGAATGAAATACAATAAAATTAATTAGATGAGGACATCAAAATGAAAGAAAAATAAAAATTCTTTGAAACCAGGGACTAAGTTAGTATACAAAGTCCATGCCAAGAAGAATTAGTTTCTAGCAATGTATTCCACATGTGGCTCTAAGTGTTCTGTCTATCCACAAATAGAAAAAAACAGATACAATTACATGATTCAGATCTTCCAGAAGTTAAATGAACATACACACAATTGTTTTGTTCAATAAAAGGCAAAACTATTCCTTTTAGCTGCATAATAAAAAAATCTCTCATTATCCTTTTTCTAAGAGTACTGAAAATAATGGCCATCAACAATAACTTTAAGTAAATAATCTGATGTTTCACAGAATATTTTCTTGTAATTTCCCCCTCTGAGTCTTTGTAAGAATATTTTGTAAAAGCACTTCTGTAAGATCTGAATTTTGTGTGGTTGAGTATTAATACTCTATGCAGGTCTGGCTTCATTACAGGAAGAATTTCCAGTATCCAGAGAAAATGGCTGGCCCATAGTCCTTCTGGCATGCCTTCATAAATGCTGCTTATTTTCACTAACCTCTCCATCTGTACTGAGTGGCAGTATGTTTATGGTTATTTCCCTCGAAAAGAGACTAAAGTTCAGAGAGCCTTTATTGTGTGTTAATTGCAAATCCTACACTAAAAAAGTCAGCTAAACCTGGGCTAGTAATGACGCAAGCATGAATCAAAAGGCATCTCACCTTTGCTCAGAGGGAAACTTCAAGGAATCCTTGAAGTCAAACATCCCTTCAAAGACTGTTAAGACACAAATGAATAGGGATTGGGCCCCAAAATTCTGAATCAGAGCATTACAGGATGTAAATCTCATGGAGAAAAGAACACGTACGTCCGGCAGAATGGGATAGGCACATATAATTCTAAACAGCACATAGTTTGAGATTTACAGTTAAATAGTAGAGATGACTGAGAATATTGTTGACCCAGGGCAAGGAAAATTTTGTCATTGGGCACAATTGAGAATAATGAATTTATAATAAGCTGGATTCAGACAATTCTGTATCCTTACCCATGAATGGATAAACCAGAGAGTGGGACTAATAAAGTGTTCACAGATTGCATATTTTATTTGGAAAACTATCAAGGATAATTAAAGGGGCAAGAGATTAGCTAAGATATAATTGGTTCTGGGAACAAAAGCAATAGAGTTCCATGAAGCAAAGAGCATTCATGATTTGGGTGAAGCGGGGCATTCACCCAGAATAAAAGACTTGCTAAGTTTGCTCAGGTTACATCAGGGACACATGTAATATAGGTGGTTAAATAGATGGGGGGGTTAATGCCCATAAATTCTTAGTCCAGCATTCTCATGATGACAGGAAAAGTAAGAAGATATTGTCCTATTTATGTGAAAACTGGCATGGAAAAGGGAGAAGCAAAAGAGAAAATTTTACAATCCATTAATTAGTTTCATTAGCTTAAGATATACTCACATATATGCATCATCAAAATTCTGGAAAATTAGGCCACTACTAACACAGCTTCCAATATGTTGGTAAAGCAATAGTTCATCAAGATTAAAAATAACTTAGTATATACATTTCTCAGGTACATTTTATATTTTTAGTCAAAGAGCCCACACAATTGTTTTATGTTGATATGGAAAAGACAGTGCTGACCCATTTCTCGTAAAGTGAGAAACTAGAACTTTTCTTTCTTTCTTTCTTTCCTTCTTTCTCTTTTTTCTTTTTTTTTTTCTTTTTTTTTGAGACAGTTTCTTGGCTCACTGCAACCTCTGCCTCCCAGGTTCAAGCAATTCTCCTGCCTCAGCCTCCCAAATGGCTGGAATTACAGGCAACCGCCACCACGCTCAGCTAATTTTTGCATTTTTAGTAAAGATGAGGTTTTGCCATGCTGGCCAGGCTGGTCTGGAACTCTTGGCCTCAAGTGATCCACCTGCCTCGGCCTCCCGAAGTGCAGGGATTACAGGCATGAATCACCGCGCCGGGCCAACTACAAACTTTCTTCTAGAACACATAACGTTAAAAATAAAAATGTTAAAATTAATGATTTATTTATTTTTACTGCACAGTTGAGTTGATGTTAATGTAAAGTAAATTCTTAAAAGTTACAATCAACAAGTAACATTCCTTTTGAAAAGTATGCTTGTCCTAGATTAGTGTTTGCTACTTACTCGTCAGTTCTAATCACCAAGTTATAATTATATGTTGGAGAAATTTGGGGGGGAAATTTCTGTGAAGGATCAATGGGAAGGTGCCAGAGAAGACAGGCAGAGCCTTTGGATTTTGATGCAAGGCTGAAATTTGTGAATGGAAGTAGGGCGTGCAGGAAGGCCCTCATATAATAGGGCAGCTCTGAAAACAGTAATGTTGGCCAGAGAGATGGTGAGTCCTGTAGCCAAAGTCAGAGGAGTGCACATCCTACAAGGATGAGCTGGCATTATTAATTCTGTTTCGCTTATTCATTAGCTGGGAAGCCTGAAAGAACATGGCCTTAGTGGTGGTAGATCCAGAGTGTAAGAACAGGGAATATTAGTCACCTCAGCTTCTTGCATCATGTTCTCTTGATGGCATTAGAAGTACACCACTGGGGTCCCATCGATGCAGAGTTTGAGATTTAATAGGCCACACCCAAGTGTGAGACAGTAAACAAGGACTATGGCCACACAGTCCAGGTAGAGCTTAGATTAGCACCCCTAAATGAGACTAAAACATTCAAAAAATTAAGCAAGTTCTACCCCATAGAAGAGGATGGAAGATAACCATGACTGTCTCAGAGACTGTTCTGTGTAGAGAAGGGAAAGAGAAGACTCCTGGCAGAATTCTTCTCCATGGGCTCTCCTTCACACCGGGGAAGGGTCCCAGAAGACCTTAAAGTCCCAAATGTGGTTTTAAAATGGTCTCAGGTCAGGAGCAATCCCAGATATCTGGGACATGCAAACCCAAATCCTATGCTGAGGAATGTACCCTAAGCCCAGTCCTCAAATATTCCCTCAGATAAAGTTCTATGGAAATGAGTTCCCAACAAAACTATCACAAACAGATGGAGAGGGAAGTCTCTTTGAGCAAATTTATAGATAAAACAAAGGATATGATCAAACCTCAAGTGGCTGTGAAACTTGAGGGTCTTCATAATAAAAATACAATTTAAGGAGCTTGTAGGTTGGGTGCAGTGGCTCACGCCTGTAATCCCAGCACTTTGGGAGGCAGAGGTGGGCGGATCACTTGAGGTCAGGAGTTGGAGACCAGCCTGGCCAACAAGGTGAAACTCCATCTCTACTGAAATACAAAAATTAGCCAGGCGTGGTGGTGGACGCCTGTAATCCCAGCTACTCTGGAGGCTGAGGCAGGAGATTTGCTTGAACCCAGGAGGTGGAGGTTACAGTGAGCCAAGATCATGCCACTGCACTTCAGCCTGGGTGACAGAGCGAGACTCCATCTAAAAAAAAAAAAAAAAAAAAAAAAATTGTATAGTTCATGTGAGCAGAATTCTTTTTTTTTTTTTTTTTTGAGACGGAGTCTCGCTCTGTCGCCCAGGCCGGACTGCGGACTGCAGTGGCGCAATCTCGGCTCACTGCAAGCTCCGCTTCCCGGGTTCACGCCATTCTCCTGCCTCAGCCTCCCGAGTAGCTGGGACTACAGGCGCCCGCCACCGCGCCCGGCTAATTTTTTGTATTTTTAGTAGAGACGGGGTTTCACCTTGTTAGCCAGGATGGTCTCGATCTCCTGACCTCATGATCCACCCGCCTCGGCCTCCCAAAGTGCTGGGATTACAGGCGTGAGCCACCGCGCCCGGCCATGTGAGCAGAATTCTAAGTGCTTTTATAAGTAACTCATCTCCTCCTCATAATTCCGAAAGCAGGGAATGTCATTTCACGACACAGCCAACAAATATATGGTGAGTGCCAAAAGCATCAAGATAATACAAAAATAACAGCAGCGAGGAAAGCAGGACGTCTACCACCTTCATGGGGCTTGCCTTCTAATGAATACAAAATCAGTATGAGCTCCTGTTTTCTCTCTTTCTGTCCCTGTGTGTCTGTCTGTCTCTTTTTCTCTCAATCTCAAAACATGCATGTACACAACACATATACAACACAAACATTTCCTTTGCAACTGAAAATAGACAGATGAAGGATAATGAAAAAAACCAGAAAAGCCGCAAAATAACAAAATGATATGTGTAACAGGCATTGAAATCATCAGCCAAAACATTATATAGCCTAGCTACTGTGTGATTTTGTATAAATGAAAGGAAACTAGGAAGAATTTCTAACTTCACCATCTTCTTCCTGGGAAACCATGGGGAGAAGGTTTAGTCCCTGTTATTTTCAGTTTGCATCTCTATACATTTATTTACATTTCTCAACCTAACAATAACAGTGGAATTAAATGAAACCAGAAAGTGTTATGATTTAAACGGGAATAATTTTTCTGGATTTTGCAGGCCAACTGATACAAACAACAGAATGTTTTATTTTTATAAAATAGGCTTAGTGGAAGCCACACTATTACTTCCTGGTCTGTGTTTGTCATCATCATTTTACTATTTTTTTAACTAACAAAAAAGTTGTATATATTTATGGTGTACAACAGTATGTTTTGGACTATGTACACATTGTGCAATGGCTAAATCAAGCTAATTAATATATGGCTTACCTCACATACTTACCAGATATTAAAGTGAGAACACTTGAAATCTACTCTCAGTGATTTTCAAGCACTCTATACAATACATTGCTATTAACTATGGTCGCCACGTTGTATAACAGATCTCTTGAGCTTGTTATCATCCTCATTTAATGTTAATACACGAGAAGATAAGTCCAGGATCTGTCTTTTATTACCTTTATTGGTTTCCCTATATAGTGCTATCTACTGTTACACTAGATTTTTCCTATGCAATCCAAGAATAGAGATTTTCTAAAACAATTAATTTAGTGACTTGAATGCAACTGGTTGGTAATTCTGTTTTTATTGTCAAAAGTGTAAATAAATAATTTTAAATAACATGAGTTCATTCTCTTTAATATTGGCCTATGAATTATTTGTTTATGATTCATAGGCCAATATTAAAGAAAATGACTCATATTATTTATAAAGTTTATAATTTGAGATAAACAGGAAAATAAAACAATACTAATTTTAATAATAATAAAAAACTGTTCTGAGGGATTAATGCAAGGTTGTTACAGTGTGAACACTTCACATGCATTACCTATTTTCATGCTTAGAGCGACCTAATGTGCTAGTTACTGTCAGTGATCAGATTATACCGATGAGGACCCTGAGAAATAGAGAAGATAAGAAAACTAATGAAGTTAAAAAGAACAGAGCATGGACTCAAACCAATATCTGACTCAAAGCCCAATCTCTCACCTATTAGTTTGCAAATGTTATATCTATAGGTGAACTCACTAAAGCCTTCAGACATAAGATTCAAAACTGTGGTGTTTTCACAGTTAAATTATGAGTAATGTTTACTATTATATAATTTCTAAATAGATCAAGTTCTTGTTATTTACACATTTATAGACATAAAGTTTTGAGACATCTGGGTAGAGACTGAAACAATAGACTGGAACTTAAAAGCAGAAGTTTAGATGAGAGGGATATTTAGGTGTATTAATAAGGATTGAGGCTGTAAAAATGAATGAAATTACCCGAGAAAGCATTTCAAATAAGCAGAGAGGTGGGCTTGGCTGGGCACAGTGTCTCATGCCTGTAATCCTAGCACTTTTGGAGGCCAAGATGGGAGAACTGCTTGAGGCCAGGGGTTTGGGACCACCTTGGTCAATATAATGAGACCCCCATCTATATTTAAAAAAAAATTAAAAGTAGAGAGGTGGCCTGAAACACAGACATAGAGTTACCCAATAAGTGGGGCAAGGAAGTATAACCATGCAAAGGAAACTGATAAAGAGGGCCAGATGAGGAGATAGAAAATCTGGTCTGTGGGATGCCTCAGAAGCCAAAGAAAGATGTTTCCAAAAGAAAATGATAAACAGCTTTAGTAGTTGGTAGAAAGAGGATAGAAAGCTTTTCCATAGGATTGAGCCAACCTGAGAACAAAGGTGACCTATAAGCTGCAAAGGTAAAGGGATGGCACTAGAAGTTCTAAGGTAACCAGAAGTTTGAATACATTTGAAAACCCATTGCAGAGAGTAGGAGAGTAAGTTGACTAGGTATACAATTTCAGGCAATTTAGGAAAAAATAATTGAAGGACTGATTATAAATTTATTCATTAATTCAAAAAGTGTCTGATAGTGGCAGTAAACACAACACTGTTCTGAGTGGTTTGGGTATATTTGCAGTGTAAAACAGACAATATCCTCTGCTCTCATAGAAATTAAGGTCCAGTAGAATGATAAAGAAACAATAAATATCAGGTAAAAATGTTTTAATACAATACATTAGAAAATGGCCAGTGGGTTTTTTTTTTTAAGTAGATCACAACAATTAGAAAGATCAAGAGTGTTTGAGGTCAAAGCAGGTTGCATTTTAAAATGGGATTGACCCACTGCTGTATATCTACACCAAGGAAAAGGAATCATTTTTATAAAAAGACACCTGCCTGCTATGTTTATTGCAGCACTATTCATAATAGGAAAGTCATGAAATCTACCTCAGTGCCCATCAATGGATGACTGGATAAAGAAAATATGGTACATACTAGGGCCGAGCACGGTGGCTCATGCCTGTAATCCCAGCACTTTGGGAGGCCGAGGCGGGCAGATCACCTGAGGTCAGGAGTTCGAGACCAGCCTGGCCAACATGGCGAAACCTTGACTCTACTAAATATACAAAAAAATTAGCCAAGTGTGGTGGCAGGTGCCTGTAATCCCAGCTACCCAGGAGGCTGAGGCAGGAGAATCGCTGGAACCCAGGAGGCAAAGGCTGCAGTGAGCCTAGGCTGCGCCATTGCACTCCAGCCTGAGTAACAGAGCAAGACTCTGTCTCAATAAATGAATAAATAAATAAATACAGTAAAGAAAGAAAGAAAAAAGAAAATATGGTACATATACCAGCCATAAAAAGAATAAAATCGTGTGTTTTGCAGCAACACATATAGAGCTGGAGGCCATTATCTTGGGTGAAATAACTCGAAAAATCAAGTACTGCATATTCTCACTTATAAGCGGAAGCTAAACAATGAGTACACATGGACATAAAGAGGAAAATAATAGGCATTGGGGACTCTAAAAGTGGGGAGGATAGGAGAGAGATGAGGGTTGAAAAATAACCTATTGGGTACAATGTTTACTTTATGGGTGATGGGTACATTAGAAGCACAAACCTCACCATTACCCAATACATCCATGTAACAAACCTGCACATGTACCCCCGTACTTATAATACAAAATAAAGTGGGATTGACAACAATACTCAATTTGGTTGATATTTCAGCAACAATGTGGACTGAAAGAAGTGAGAATTAGCCATGCGGATATCTAGGGAATAGCACTCTAGGTATGGGAACAGCAGTGCAAACTCCCTGAGGTGGCAGGGCAGCGTGCATGAACAGCGAGAAGAGAGTAATAGGAAATGAGGTTAAGGAAACAGTGGGAATGAGTGTAGGGGCCAGAAAGTGTAGGAACTTGAAGGCCACTCCAAGGATTTAGGTTTTACTGAGTGAAATAGGAGCCTTCCTATTGCTAACAATATACACTAGTCCCCTCATTTCTCCAGTGGGGTTCAGTGTAGGATTTCTATGCACTGAGAGTGGCTTCATAAGTAGCTTTGACAATTACCACAAAATAACAGCATGAGGAAGGAATAGTTTACAAGTGTCTTATGAAAATGCAAACCATATGTGTTCTGCTTAATAATGAACAGAGGTAAGAAATTAATGGGTGGCTGTTTTAGAAGAATGGAAGAGAAATGGACTGAGGTTTAATGCGTACATTTGTATTCTCATTCACTGATATAAAGATAAATACATTGAATCTGGATCCAGGATTTGAGGCTTTTTCTGCATCAGACCCTCCTGTTCTTAGTCAAATCATTTCCATTTGTAAAACTAAATTACTATTTCAAAGTGCTCAGACAGAAATGGGACAAAAAAAGAAGATAATTTTGAGCCAAAAATGTTTTAACATAGCATGAAGCTTTAAATTAAAAAAGACACTTCTTAGTATTACACTTCTGGAATTTAACCTAAATGTAAATCCTTTTTTTTTTTTGGAAGCAGGGGCCTACTGATCATTTATTCTTTCATGAAACGAAACAAATAAACATTTATTTATTGACTATGAAGATGGGTCTCGGGGAAATATTCCCTTTAGAAGCTCACAGTCCAGTGTGCTTCTTCTCCACTTTCTGTGTGGTAGTGAAGTATTTTTCCTTTTATAAGTACAAATGAATTACTCACTTTTTGATTCCAGTCAATGCAACACTAGAATTATTCAATGAAATTACATTTTCTTATGGTGCTCAGAGGACGGCCCACTGCCAATGTAATTGAGGCCCTTTCAAAACGTAATTTCCATTAACAATGTTTACTCTGAAATTGTCTCTTTGGCTTTCTTCATATGACAGAATCTATGATTGAATGAAAGTGCTAGGTTTGAGATTACTGCATCTATAAATGTAATATTTACTTTGAGTATTAATGATTGTAATGGTTGGCTTTTAAGATCATTTCAGTTGCTTTGATAACGGAATAGCAAGGCAAGAAATTAACAGTGACAGATGACTTCATTAACTAATTCCAGTTAAATAAACCTCTGATTCTCTTCCCAGCTCACATGTTGTTCACGTAAATGCTTGGAGAAAATGTGACGATTATAGTTCTTTTTATACATTTTAATATACATGCATCATACTGAAAATTTTATATATATTATATAAGGTAAGAATTATTCATAAATTTATAAAAGCAAATTCCATTCTCTGACTGGCAATAAGATCCCTTAACACCCATATATATTTCCCATACAGGTATTATTAAAATGAAAAATATACAGTTTTTAGGCATATATCCACTAAATCAAAAGCCCATTTTTGTTTAAATAATTTTCTTTAGCTATATATCATTTTTGAAAGCACAATTTATAATGTTCAAAATAGAATGTGTTCCAAACTTTCTCTTAGAGTGCTCAGTGAGAAAGTACTTATATTTATATCCATTTTGAAGCAGTCTTCAGAGAATCATACTTTAATCAGGAAATCTGAGCTTATGAAAATGTTCATTATATTGATTTTTTTTTTCCATATTGCTGTGCACACTGAATCTTGTCCCAGCAGGCTAATGAAATACTTTATTTCATGATGTGTCTCTAGGCTATGGAGATATGTGACGTGTTATGGCCAAATTTTGTGTGATCTTCTATATTGAAAGAGTCACCCACATGTCCCTAAAAGATACCCATACTTGCAATTTTATAAAAAAGTGAATTTTGCTCAAACACATTATTTACAGATGTTCAATCAGATAAGTTAAAACCAGACAATTTGTAAATGATTTAATTGAATTTTAAGGGATATGGAGAATAAATCCAATGAATAAATATCATTTTTAAATGCATCTCATATTTTGTAAGAAAATATATTTACAAAATGGAAAACTGCATTATTAAAATACAAACTTTATAGCAGTTTTATGCAAAATAGTATATAGAACAGTTACCTGATTTGTAACAAAAGGGTAGCTCTGTATTCTCAATACAGATCATTTCCCTTTAAATGTTCTTGTCTTTTTAAAATGCTTTACAAAATAATTGTTTCATTATTTATTAGAGAGTTCATAATAAGTTTTCTTTGCATAAAGTATTCATTTGTCATTTAAAAATACAAAATTAAATGACTCTATCAATAAAAATGTTTGGAATATTTTTCATTTTATATTTACTGACTAGTATAGAGCAAACTAAATGAGTTTTGGAGTCTCTCTTTTACATATGTTTTACATTGATATGATTCTTCCTATAAAGTCATAAATAACTTTTACAAGTATAAACACTGCTGCATGAAGAAAAATACTGACCTAGTAATCTCCTAGGTCAGATTTGGATTCAGCAGCACAGAATGGAAATCCAATTATAATCTCTTAAACAAAGAAGGATTTATTTTTCTCGTGGGTCTTATACAGCAACCCAAAGATTGGCATCCTGGGTCTTATACAGCAACTCCATGATAACATCAAAAAAGGACCTTTTAATTTCTCAATCAAACATGTGGCTTTCTTTTTTATGATCGTAAACCAGTTTCTGCATCTCTAATCATTATTTTGGCAAGCCATGGAAAAGACAAAGGAAAAAAATGGAGAGATTAAAAAAAAAAGCAGCAAAAAGTACATGCAGTATGAATACAGGTGGATACAAAGAAAGGAACAACAGACAGGGCCTACTCGAGGGCAGAGGGAAGGAGGAGGGTGCAGAATGAAAACCTAGCCATTGGGTACCATGCCTATAACCTGGGTGATGAAATAATCTGTACACCAAACCCCCATGACACTCAATTTACCTATATAACAAACCTGCACACGTACTCCTGAACCTAAAAGTTAAAAAATAGAATAAAATAATTAAAAAAACTTTTCCTAAAAAGCCCCAAAAGATTTTTCCCATGTTTACTGCATAAGGTGAAATGAAGTCACATGTGTACTCTAGCTCTGAGGCATTCTGGGAGGAGTGAGCATTTTAATTGGGCAAAACACAGCCATTGATGATACATGCTGTGACTATGGAAGGATTCTATTAAAAAGGAGAAGGGGAACGGGATATCAGGTAGGCCTCTAGCGGTGGCTGTCATGCTCATTAACAACTTTGCAATCAGATCCCAAAAGGCTAAGAAACTGTTAAAGACATTGCTTAAAATAGATGTTCACTAGCTTCAGTGAAATAAAAGATAGTGTATCTCATTGTCTTATGATTTAATGTTCTGAAGTAATCATTTGCTGAAAGCTACAACAATTAATGGTGACAAATTTAGAGGGTGAAGTCACGTCTGTGTTTTTACTCCCTATGTTCCAGCTACCTAGGATTGGGCAAGTTATTTAATATGTCTTGGCCTTTATTTTCTAATTTATAAAATATTCAGGAAAAGGAAAACTGCATCAATGAAATTTTCTACAGTACTGATTACTTCTTTTTTCTAATAATGTAAGTAAACAACAAATGCAAAGTAAAAAGTCTATTGATTTTAATAGATATGATAGGCTTTTTTTCGAGCTGAATAGATATTAAAGAAAGTATAAGTACCCTTTTGCAGCTGAAGAATATTGTAAACTAAATTGCACATTGGCTGAATTTATATGTATGGCAGGTAAAATATTTGTGCACTATCCGATCATCACTTGAAGACAGAATGTAATAATCTTTAATTCTTCTACATGGTAGAAATGTGAAGGTCCTCCTGGTTGCTGCAGTATTTCCAGCCAGTAGCAATATATACTTTCTAAGTGGAGATTAATGAGTAATTATGTCATTTTACACCATCAGTCATGGTGATGGACTGATTCCAGATTGCTACAGTAAGAATGAAGAGGTTGAGTCCCACCCCTTGCTTATTTGTTGAGATTAACTTGATAAAGTGATCACCAAAGTTGAGTCCTCCTACTCTTTCTGAGACTTATACATATAGCTTTATCTGTTTGGTCTTGCAGATATCATTTGCACTCAGGCCAACGGCTGATGTGATGCCAGGCTCAGTGTTCTGTGTGGCATTTTCCTAGTACACATAGATATTGGCTCAGGCTGTCAAAGATAAAAAAAAAATAACCAAAAAACATTAAGCATAAGAAACAGCACATGGGGCTGAGTGTGGTGGCTCACACCTGTAATCCCAGAGCTTTGGGAGGCCAAGGCGAGAGACTAGCTTAAGGCCAGGAGTTCAAAACAAGCCTGGGCAACATAGCAGTATTCCATCTCTACAAAATAATTTTAAAAAGAAAAAAGAAAAGAAAAAGCAAATAGCAGGAGTCACATTTCTACACTGTGACTGAACTTCATTAATAACAGCAAATGAGCAGATCGGCTCAAACAACCATGGGAAAAAGAAACTAGACACAAATGGGTGGAAGGAAATACTAGGTAATGCCTAGTAGTGCAAAGTATTTGCATTGTATTAAACTCTTAACTTTTTATTATTTTATTTAATTCTCCCAACTGCCACAGTTATTTCCCTTTTACACATACAAAGTTAATTATTTTGCCCAAGGTCATAGCACCAAACCCAGGCAGTTGATTTTAAAGTCTATGCCTTTAAGTGATATTCTACATTATATCCACCTAGAGATACAAAATAAATTCTAAAAAATAAAACTTCACTAGTGCTGAGTATATATACTTGTTTGAGGAAAACCTTGATAGATTGACCTATCGACATTTATGACTGGAAAATCCCATTGCAGATGCGCACCTGTACACTAGACTTGAAGTTCCAAAGAGATGCCTTTAACAGATATTGTTCACTAATACTCAGATTTATCACGAACATTATGGAAGACATTTAATGGCTACAGTACTCTGAGAGACATGATCTGGGAATATATGTTTCAGGCTGCTGCAGTTCTTCTCAGGTCAAATCATATTTCTTGTGAAGATAGTGCAGTGTTAACTGATAGCGCATCAAACCTGAAGGGACAGTTCAATGGGTTTGTGTGCCGAGCTGGAAAAGAAAGTCAATTTTCATTTGCTTTTAGACCCACATTTTGAATCAGACAATATTAGATACAATGGCAGTCTCAGAAGAGATGGTCTCATGTTTGCCTTTTAAATGTTGGTGCTTCATTTTTAAGACCAAGATACAAGTATGTGAGAAAAAGCACCCAGAGAATACTGAATGGTAATTCTCTCATGATGAATAATATGTCTACCTTAATTGATACTTGAAGAAAAATTGGTAAGTCTCAGCTAAAGCATAGTAACTAAGGGTTGGTTTGTAAAATAAATAAAGAAAAAAGGAAAGGGCTACTATTGCTTTAATAAAGATTTCCTGCCAGTATGTCCTGCTGCAAATTGTAAATGGTGGAAGCACTTCACCTCTAAGCACTGTGAATGGAAATGGAGACCGTTAAGGCAAACTTTAAGATTAAATACTTTCGTTTGTGGTATTTAATTTTCTCTGTATGATGTTTTAAAACAATTAAACATGCATAAGTTATAGTAAATATAAGATCCTTCTTTATCTATGCCTCATTTTGAAGGAAGAAACCTTCCCTTGAGAAGGAAAAGAACGAAGAAAGACAGAGCCTAGGGTACTGTGTATCATGAAATGAAGGGTAGAACAGTTTCTCAGGAGACCAACTGTGGTTCCCTCATTCAAATGACACACGAGAAGACACTGTCATATGTTTAAGTTTGCTTTTATGTAAGGAACTATTTACTGCTATTCTGCTTAAAATGCTGACCCTTAAAATATTTTATAAAGATCTAACATCAATGCAACTTTACCCAGCCAATTATAAAGAAGTAGGCTGATTTTTCTGATATTTTGTACAGACATTTTTAAAAATTTTAATGTAAACTTTGATATTGTAATTATTAATAACACAAAAGGATTAGTTCTCATTTTAAGCAGGGAACTATTTGTGTCCTCTGTACTACGTAAACTCAACATAAGATGCAAGAGAAAACTAACATTATGCTAATAGATAAAACCACACATGATCTGTGGTGGAAGGACTGGAATTGCACTATCACTGAAGTGCAAATGTATATATATATTTAAAATTTTGAAAGCTTACACTCTTCTCAGATTTAGTTTAAAAAAGATTCTAGTTTCATTCTCTCCTTTATTGACTGCTGTTTCTGCTACATGACCAAAAGTAGTTTTCATTGTTCATGTTTGGTTTGTTTTGCTTGTAGGTAAAGCTTATTATAATTAAATACATAGAGCCAAGGAAGGGAAAAATTAACAGTTACATAAGAGAATAAGGAGAAAGTAAGAATGAAGGTCAATATATACTCCAAACATTGATGTTTCTGTCTCCTTCACATACAGATATTGGCCTCGTGTTGTAGCCTTAAACCATCTGATCCAGACAGGTCAAAGCAAGAACTTTTTAAAAAATCTCTCTTCTTTTCAGCAAGTTTTCCCGCTAAGGAAACACATTCTCATCCCTCAAATCACTTGATGTCATACAATAACTTTTAGCTCCTACCCCAAATTGGAAAACAATATTGTGAGGAATAAAATCATTGTAGATTTTGCAGGCAATCCTAAATAATCAGGTGAATTACTTTAGATATAATCATCTCTTAGCTTGGAAATTTGCAGATCGATTTCGTTTATCTATTTGCAGTGCAAACAACTTTAAAATATGCATATTATTTGACATTTTCATATCTTTTGAGTATGAGAGAAAGAAGGTAAAAGAAGAAAGTAGAGAATCTTCTGTCTATATTTAAGTGATATAATTTCAGTTATATTCATGGCATCTCTAGTATTTATCACATAGTTTTCCATGGAAAAATATCATTTTTAAGTCTGGTCTATTGTTTACTTCAAACTGTATAATGTATAGTAAACTATTTATGGATAAGATGAATTACACCGCAGCTTTAATTTTTCAGGTTTACAGCTGTCACTTTTGACACAGAAAATGAAGAGATTTAAAATCCATTTCAGGCATGTAACTATAATTTCATAAAATTTTATGCCCCACAATATATAACATGTGATAAAAGATGTGAAATGCAGAAAATATTCATCATTTACTGCTTCTTCATGACCACAACTTTGGGCCCTTTAAACAGGGATAAATATTGGAGGAACAGTATTCTTTTTCATTGTTGAAAAGCTTCCAAAATAGATTACAGTAAAATTTAAAATAAAACCAGAGAATATGTATTATTGAGACAAAGTCAGGACACCTGAGTTTTGTTCCCAGACTCTGAACCTGTTTGCTGCAATATGCTGGACAAATACTTTAATATCCCAAGGTTTAGCCCCCTCATCTTGATTGCTAAGAAGAAAACGATTATTAATAATGTCAAAGAAGATAATATCTATAAAATAATTCACAGGTCTATAGCAATTATTCAAATAGAAAATATTAATGTCATTATTAATAAACAAATAATCCCATTTCTTTTGATTTACATTTTTCTCTTCAAACATACCCAAGTCAGATAATGACGCTTCTATCTACTAATTTTACTCCATGTTATATTTTTCTGTGTTGCTACTGGAGCTTGAACTTGATGTCATCCTTTCTAATCCTGGCAGCCATCAATTCTCAGTTCCTAATGCTTTCTGGTAGAACTTTTTCCTCATATAAATGCGGTAACACATTTACATATGAAATCCATTTAATGTAATGTATTTTATCTGAAACCATCAGAAAACAAAACTTGTTTTATTTTTAACTGTTTTAAATTTTATAGGAACATAATATTTTGATTTGTGAAACATTAAAAGGCTCCTATAATGAGCCATCTAGCCCAAATAGCAGCAGGTAATTTTATTTGGTGTAATGGAAAGAACCCTGGGCAGAGGATTGGATAACCCAGTTTCTATTCTGATTTCTGTAATTAACTAGCTCTATGATATTGGGGAAATCACTTAGCCTTCCTGATTCTCAATTTCCTCATTTGTGAACTGAAGTAATTGAAACAATGTTCTCTAAGGAACTTCCTAGTTCCAGCGGCCTGATTTTATGCCGACAGAAGCCATGCATGAAGACCATTTGGTTTTCTTTTAAAATCTATACTTTCTTCTTACCAATTTATATTACACTAACATTATTTTTGCAATACCTGATCACAAGTATAATTTGGTTTAGGAGCTACCTATGGCTGGGAGGCAGCTGGCATGGCCAGGGCCGATCCCTTCAGACAAGGAATGTGCAAAGCTCTAGAATGGCCAGCTCAAGAATCGTAGTAGAAATAGTTCTAGTACGAGAAAGACATGGTCTACACTTCAAGCAGGCATTGGAAGAAAAAAAAAAAAAAAAAAACACGTGTGTGTGAACTTATAAGTACCTGAGCCGACTGCTCAAATATCTTATTATTCTCCTTCTTACGAGAAGGTCAATAAATTTCAAGCTTCATTAGCACCAACGTGTACTCAGAACCAACAAATGTTATGCCGACTACTCAGGGAAGGATTCAAGACATAAAATGGGCGGCAATTTTTATATCTGTAAGCATAGCATGATCACGGAAGCAAAAGTACTCAACATTTTATAAGGCAGTAAATAAAGCCTGTTTTAAACTAAAAATACAGCAGTACTTGTGGGCTGTTTTTTATGCAATCAGCATCAAAACTTGGAATGAAACAAAAATTATGTTGAGCACAAAGTGTTTCCCTCAGAAAAGGATAGGAGAGAGGTTAGCTTGGAGTAGCCAAATAATGGTACCACAAAGTTTCAAGCAGAAGATTTAAATGTGTTCTGTGAATTACAGTGATACCTCCTGTGTGTGCCTATGATTATGAATTGGGAAAGGGGAGTGGGGAGAAACTGAACCCTGGCCCCGCATTTTTCCACAGACATTTAGCATAATGAGGTGGCTGCTAAGCTTTCATTTTCAAAAATCCCCTGTTTTAAAAAATGCTTAGGATGGCTGAGTTGGAGAATACTGGCATGGAGCACAGTAAAACTAATGAATCTATACATTTGTTTAAAATTTAATTAACTTCCATTATTTGAATGGCAGAAAAAGAGGCCTATACCCTGACGCATCAGTAGGAAGTACACACCACGTTTCATTTGCCTTTGCATATCAATTTACATGATGAAAGCTCTGTCCTCTATATTGAGCTCACTACACACTAGATCAACAGCCCAGAATTCCCTCCTTCATAAGTTTGGATTGGCTGACATTTTGTGTCTGGAATTGGTTCCTTCCGGTAGGTTCTTGGTCTCGCTGACTTCAAGCACTAAGCCGTGATGGCGGTGAGTGTTCCAGTTCTTAAACATGGTGTGTCCAGAGTTTGTTCCTTCCCATGTTCAGATGTGTCTGGAGTGTCTTCCTTCTGGTGGGTTCCTGGTCTCACTGACTTCAGGTGTGAAGTGGCAGACCCTCACCGTGAGTGTTACAGCTCATAAAGGTAGTGCAGACCCAAAGAGTGAGCAGCAGCAAGAGCAAAAGAACAAAGCTTCCACAGTGTAGAAGGGGACCCCACTCGGTTGCCGTTGCTGGCTCAGGTGGCCAGCTTTTATTCCCTTATTTGGCCCTGCCCACATCCTGCTGATTGGTCCATTTTACAGAGTGCTGATTGGTCCGCTTTTACAGAGTACTGATTGGTGTGTTTACAAATCTTCAGCTAGACACAGAGTGCTAATTGGTATGTTTACAATCGTTTAGCTGGACAGAGAAGTTCTCCAAGTCTCACCAGACCAGAAGCCCAGCCGGCTTCGCCTCTCAATTTCACTTTGACCTAGTAGAAGAAACAGAGTTGTTTCCAACTGTATAAATGATGAAGCAGTAGCAAAACCTGCTGTACTGACTTTGATGTGGAACAAGGTTTCTCTTCCCAGGTTACCTTTGGGGACGTAATGATGAACTTGTTCCAAATCTGTGAAACTTGAATACAATGAGTATTCAATAAATGCCAGTTGCATGGAAAAGAAAGTAGGAAATTGTGTTTTGGGGGTCACTTAGGCCGAATATTGTTTTTCTTTTTTGTTGTTGTTGTTCTTTAGAGTAACAAAAACAAATTCAGAGTAAGAGATTGATGAGTACATTATATGTGGAAAAGTCAAGAATACTTGTTGGAATTGACATCATGTGGTCAGAACTCCTTTCTTTCTCCTTTTCTTAATTTTCTTACCTCTGTCTCCCTTTGTGTGTAGTCTCTATTTTCTCCATTTTTAGAGGGAACTCTATTACATTGTCCAGTGCACAAGATGAGGTGGGGACCATCTGAGTAATGAAGCAACTACTCTTTTTTCTAAAAAGCTGCCCATGATTATTGGCCAGACCTAAGACTCTTGCTCAGCCTGTGGGTAAGGGACAAAATACAGTAATTACCAATATCACTGTATTCACAGAGAGGATAGGTATCAAAACACTGATAAAACGAAGGGGCAGAAGTGTCAACCAGAAATAGTGGAGAGAGGATACTGGCAGGGAAAAATAAATAAGCAAACAAATTAAAATGTATCAGAGAACTATAGCACATAACCGAGAAATAAAAATTCTCTTTACTCTTAAGGCATGATTTCTTTTTAAGTGAAGTAATGCAAATATTAGATTTCAGTATTTATCTGTACTAGTATTCTATTGCTGCATTTCAAATTTCCATAAACTTAGCAGCTGAAAATAACCCTTATTTATTAACTCACAGTTCTGCAGGCAAAAATTCAGCCCAGTGTGAATGAGTTCTTTGCTCAGGGTCTCACAAGATTGAAACCAAGGTGTCAGCAGGGCTGTGTTCATCTCTTGAGGCTCTTAGGGAAGAAGCAGCTTTGAAGATAATTCATATTGTTGATAGAAGACACTTCCTTGCTCTCTTAAGGTTGAGGTTTCCTTTGTTACTGCCAGCTGTGAGCTGGGGTGTAGGTAGTTCAACTCCTGCAGGTGGCTTCTCTGCATCCACAGCTTTAACACATGTATTTGCTTTCTTCCAAGCTGGCTGGAGCATGTGTTTTGGACTTCCTTTTCTTACACTTGGAAAAAACTTTCTGCTTTACAGGTCTCATGTGATAGGGTTAGGCCCACCCAAATAATCTTATTTGAAGATTAACTGTGTCATATGACATAGCATAAGCATAGTAATAAAATCCATTGTCCTGACAGTCCTGGAGATTATGCAGGATATGGACACTCAGGGGAGAGAAATCTAGGAGTCTGTTGTAGAATACTTCCTACTACTCTGTAGGTTACATTTCAGTCATAATTGAAAATTCAGGTTTGATTTTGATTTAGTTCAGTATTGATAAGCTAAAGTGATATGGTTTGGCTCTATGTCCACCCTCCACCCCCCGCCAATCTCATCTCGAATTGTAATATCCACATGTTGGAGGAGGGGCCTAGTGGGAGGTGATTAGATCATGAGGGCAGATGTCCCCCTCATCGTTCTGATAGTGAGTGAGTTCTCATAAGATCTGATGGTATTAAATTGTGGCACTTCACCCCTGGCTATCTCTCTCTCTCTCTCCTGCCGCCATGTAAGATGTGCCTCGCCTTCTGCCAAGGTTGTAAGTTTTCTGAGGCCTCCCCAGCTGTGCAGAATTGTGAATCAATTAAACTTCTTTTCTTTATAAATTACCCAGTCTCAGGTAATTCTTTACAGCAGAGTGAAAATGGACTAATACATCAAGTTTTATGATGTAAAATAATACACTGAAGTATGTTTGGACCCTGGTTAGTCTTGGAAATTCCATCTATAAGTTCTGTCTGTAACTTACCTTAATAAGAAACCAACGATACATGGAGAAGGAAAAATTGTAAAAACCAGTGGATGATCAGTAAGAAAACTAATTTTTTTTTTTTAATCTCGGAAATAATGCAACTCTATGGTCAATAACATTCATGTGTCAGTTTTAAGAAAATGTTCTACGAACACGTACGCACACACATAATTCCATGGACTCCAAGAATCATTAGGAGAACCTTAATAATAATAATAATAAATTAGTAGCTTCTGAAAAGCAACCAAACTTTAAAAGAAATATTCAACATTTAAGGCTTCAATCAATCTCTACTTAAGCACCTGCTTTCATAATCCTGAAACTCATTTAAAAAAAAAAAAAAAAAAAAACTTTCTGACCTTTAAAAATGCAACAGCCTGAAATCAATTTATTTCAGTCAGGCATTCAATAGTATATACTTGCTAAAACAGTCAAAGTTCAAGTTATAGCATCTGTGACATCTATTTTTTTCGTTTTTGCATTTTTGCCTTCTTATTTTATTTTTTTCTTTTAAGTTAAAGTCAAAATGGAACTATTATCTCTTTGGCAGTTTCTTGGGAATCCTATTAACCTATTGGGAAATAAGTAAACTCTGAGAATGATTCCTTTCTTAATATGTTTATAATGAGAGCTTTAAAAAAATGATCTCTCACTAACCTGTATTTAGAAACAAGATGTAACTTACTGCATTTCTTACACAGGATAGTTAATATTTATCTTTGGGATTAAGATTACTCATTTTCACACTATGGGGCAGAAAATAAATATTATGTATAAATTATTATGCAAGTAAGATAATATTTATGATACTATTACAAGATATAAGACCATGAAATATTAATTCTTAGCAGTAAATTTGACAAAAAAACTTGACTCATAATGCAAAGAAAACAAGCTAAGTTCTTGTATTTATTTTTTCTGCATTTGTGATATTACACATTCAAATCCATTTGAAGTAGTTACTATAGAATGAGGAAAGGAAATAGAAGACTTCGGTAAGGCGGCTTCATGCTTTAACACACTAAGCAATCCCCACAGTGATGGATGCTACAAAAAATAGGTCACCTTCAAACCACCCTTGAAAATAAGCAGACACTGTAATTTCAGATTGTGTTCTTATGAGCATTGTTAAGAGCATTGAGATATATATACATATATATAAATGTTATATATTTAACAAATTATATATATATTTGTTATATATATAACAAATATATATATAACCTATATATACATATATAACAAGTATATATATATATAAATAAATATATATATTTGGCCTTGTATTTATTTTGCAAAAATTGTGCTTGTCTGAGCACAAGAAAATACCATTTTTTCATTTTTTTCTCTCACATAAAACACATATAAACGTCTTCATACACATGCACAAATCTGTGTAGTTATTAGTTCATTGTGAGAAAGAATGTAGATATTTTAATGACCATTTCTGTTATTAAATGGAGTTACTCTATTACCTTTTTAATATGATGGATTTTATGTCTTTCAAAGCAAATTATGGCACAATGTGCACAACCATAGAAAAATATTTTATTCAAAAAACTGACTCCCTGGGAGCGATTACTAAATTGTGTTTTCTAGTACCTAGTACAATTACTAATGGGCAGTCGAAAGTATTTTTCAATGATACTATTGTTATTAATGCATTCAGGGTAATACAAATCTGGCTTTGCTCAAATTGATGTCACAAAACGAAAACTTGGGTAGTTTATATCTATTGCTAATTCAATTCTCTGAACATAGATTCAGCTTTTTTGGTTTTTTTCTCTCAAGATATTTCAAAAGTTTTTTTTCCTGTTAATGGCATTGTATTATCAAATTAAAAGTGAGATGATTCAGTTTAAATGCTAGTCCCAAAGACACGTGGGGTTAGACAACCTGGTTTAATCTCTGCTCTGAATATTTTTACTTGTGTGTCTTGAGCCAAGTTAGCCTGCCTGTCCCTCAATTTCTGTATCTACAACATGAGAATGCTAATAGAAGGATTGTAATCATAGTGTTTTTCTGAGTATTAAAGTGGGTTTAGACACATAAAGCCATTAGAAAGTTGCCTGGCAAAATATAGAAGCTTGATAGCTTTTTCTACCATCTTATTGAATCCAATCAGTTTTCTCATGCACATTTATATAAGTTAATATAAATAGAAAGGAATATTGCTATACTGGGCTTATTTGGATATGAAGGGAGAGAAATGAAGGAAAACAAACTGTGAAGCCAAATTCTCTACAGTATTCTCCAAATTTATGATATAAATATTATAGTCTACATTTTACATATGAAGACTCTGAGGTATGAAGAAATTCAGTAATTTACACAATAACACAAATGTAATAAGTGATCAGTTTCGGATTCTAACCCACAAATATCTGATGTTCAGGATCATGGATTTTAACTCTTTTTATGTTGTATACACCCTATATGCCAAACAAAAATTCAAACGACAACAACAACAAAATTTAAAGATGGGCTTGCTATATGTGCATGCATTCGTTCCTTTATAAATTCATTAGTTCATCAAACCATTGCTGAGCATGGACCATGTGATCTGTGTTTGATCTGGTGAAAACACAGAAATCACTAAATATGGTATGATTGTGTCTAATTTCATATCCCTGTGAAAAGAAAACTTCGACCTCTAAAATTAGACCAACTCTGATAAAAATCCACAGCAAATGACAGAAAGAAGGATACAAATTAAATATGAGGTGATGGAAAAGTGTACAACAGCCAGAGAAAGAATAAGATTACACAAAGGGATTTGATATAAGTGTATCATATTGCTCCATTCTCAAATATTGTGAATTGAACACATCTCTCAACTAATTTAACATCCATTTAAGGGTAAGAGAAAGCCACTGATAGAATTAGTATTATCTAAAACAAATTTCAGTGGAAAAAAAGGATTTTATATTATCTCCACTTTGTAGGGTCATTTCATTCTGGTGCAGGTTTTGCAAAAACAAACCATTGATTTGGAAATCATAAATATATTCTAAATTTTAATATAGTTACTTATGTTAAACATAATGTGTTAAAGTTTTAGCATATTCTTTTTGACTAATCATTAGTTACTTATGTTAAACATAATATGTTACATTTTTAACATATTCTTTTGACTAATTAATCATTTCCTTTTTAAACTTGGAGAGGCAATGGGGGGTACAGAGTGAGACAGGAAGGCAGCCTCTGTAACAACCTGAGGACTCATGGTTGGGGAAAGATGTCATCTACTTTTAGTCAAGAGATAAATGTTTTACCTGCTAATAGGGAAACACACCCAAAAGCACAGAGAAAAGTCTGGTCAAAACACTGCATTGCATCTAATAAAAACTAATTAACTGGTTTAAAAGCAAAAGATCCCTTGGTACTGCAAAACTCAATCGCTTTCACAATAAATAGATAAACTGCTTTGTGGGAAGAATTTACTAATACATGGAAGAACTTCCATTAGAAACTACATGTTTATTTGATTTCTTAAAACGTATTTAGGCATAATGTGTGTTCTAATTATTTTCATTTCTTGAAGAATATGTATTCTTATACAATTCTTATTGTTGACAATTTTGTGGCTACACTTTTGTCTTTTCTTCTTTCCTTCCTTTCTCTCTATTATGCCTTCTTTTTCCCCTTTTTTCTTCGTCAAAATTCTTAAGCCTTCTAAAGTCAATCCTGTCACAATGAAAATACATTAAAATGGCTATAACGTCCGATCCATGAACTTCAGTGAACTCTAAAGACTCCTCAAATATACGCAGATGTATAGGATTCTTACGTTTCTCCTAATTTCTACTAGAGAATCTGTCTCTTATCTCTTCTTCCCCAGCTGTTCCTTCTATTCACCCCATATTAACCCAAGCATGAAGCACAGCCCTAATATTTGTTAAAAAATCCAAAAGCTTGTGAAGTTTTAATGAAACCCTAGAACTTGGAAAGTATTATATCAAACTACAGAAAGTTGAAAATTTAATGTTTGTCTCCCTCTTCTTAAAGGTCCTCTACTCAACCTTTAGACTGACAAACTCCTCACGGCTTGCCTCAATGTCTTAAATGCTTTTCCCACCGCTTTTTTTGTTCTACTTCCGATTTTCTGTTTTTAGCAAACCTTGATGTTTCTGGGAATGCCCATGGATAGCCTAGATTTCTTCTTATACCCTGAAAATTAGGAAATCAAGCAACTTTTCCTTATTTCTAATCTACTGTAGGCATTTTTTTTTTTTGAGATGGAGTCTCGCTCTGTCGCCCAGGCTGGAGTACAGTGCAGTGATCTCGGCTCAATGCAAGCTCCACCTCCCAGGTTCACGCCATTCTCCTGCCTCAGCCTCCCAAGTAGCTGGGACTACAGGCGTCCGCCACCACACCTAATTTTTGTATTTTTAGTAGAGACGGGTTTTCACTATGTTGGCCGGGTTGGTCTCCAACTCCTGACCTCCAGTGATCCGCCCACCTCAGCCTCCCAAAGTGCTCAGATTACAGACATAAGCCGCAGCGCCAGGCAGGCATTTTTCTGATATTGCAGAGCTATTGTCATATCCTGTAACCAAAGTAACCTGTTGTAGTGTTATATGGGGGGAGGAGGGGAGTAGTTTTCACGACTACGTTTGGAAACATTCTAGTCTCTGCTATTTATTTACCTTTCCAGTTACTAATACAATAGGTGATACAGGTGAGGCAGATATCAATTTTGGATCTATTCCCCTGTATGGTGTATTTTTTTTCTAGCTGTCCTTAGATTATTATTTACATAAGTTTGTCGCAAAGGGCTTTGTGAAGGAGATTTTTTTTTCCCTTTCTGATGATTACAAGATCAACTGGGAGAAAAGATGGTAAATAAAACCAATGCACTGAATATTGATCTCTGAAGTAACATGAAAAAGTGATACTGATTCACAAAGAGTTCAGAAACTGCAGATGCTTTTCCCTAGTATGTGTAAACATTTGAGATAAAGTGGCGCTCATCAATATACTTAGATGCAAAAATGTTTGACTTATTAAAAGAGTCCCATTAAGAACAATCAAGGAGTTTAATCATAGCAACCAAATTTGCACTTCCCTCAGTATCAGTCAGAAATAAATACAGGAAATTTAAGACTCAACTTTTCTGTTCTGATCAAGAGATCCTATTTATGAAGGGAAGATTATGAAAAGTCTCAGTGATGGACAGAAAGCCAAATAGTTGCGATTGTTGATATCTTTGTCTTCTTCAGATGATGCCTTTAGATCCAGCATTATCCCTCTTGTTCTCTCTTGAGAAAGAAGCTGTTTCTGAGACATACAGCTAACAGTAGAGACCGTGGAACAAAATGCTTGATTCGTAGGTCATTTTGTCTATACTGCAATTAAGAAATGTGAATATATCAAATATTTTTTAAAGTTTTACTCCCAATGTATTACATTTTACTAATAAATCATGTATACTTCGCATGTGTTAAAAATGTAGAATTTTTAGCTAGATTTAGCTTTTTTTGAAATCGTACTTATATTTATCTTATCGTAATTGATTTGATTTTATGTAGCCAGACATTTTATACCATTAAATAAAAGGGTATTTAAAATTAAAAAAAAATTAAAAAATAAAGGAGAAAATAAAACATAAATAGAAGTGACTATGATAATAAAGACTAACAGAAAGAAATTAGGTTAGATGGAGTTTACATTCGAGTTCAGATTTGGGTTAAGCTGCTTTATTGGGATTATTAAGTGCATATGCAAATAAATTAGTGTAGGACATATAGTTTTTAAAATTTTATTTTGCACTTGGGACTATTTGAATTCAGTTAAAAAGATTTTATTACTAGATTTTTCATGATAGCATATCAGTGGTTAGTCAAAATTAAATAAAACCTATAAGGCATTTAACATAGTATATAATATTCGATAAGAGCTAATAATGGAAATAATGAAGAAATGCTAACAATAAATTAAGAAATGATATCTAACTATAGTAATGTATTGTTATTAATAACTGATTATTATTGGCATTTATTTTTAAATCTAGACTAAATCACATACATTTATGTAGTATTCTGAAAAATAACTACATTGTTTGAAATGATACATCAAATTTACTGTTATTCAAAATAGAGATTCCATTACTGAAAATTTGATATGAATGGTTTATTGTCTGGAAATTTTTTCCCTAAAACCGAGCTTGTGAAATATGTTTTACAATGTTGGAAAAGTAAGAAAGAAGTTATTTTAACCTTCTCTCATATTTTTCTTCCCAAATCCTGGGTCCAAGCCAGTGACCTCTCCAACTTTTATAGAAGTTCTTATTCACATATTGTGACACTTTGAAATGAGAGATTATAATTGGAGTGAGCTAAAGTTGTAAAATATGACAATCTGAGAAAATAGGATGGCTTTTATATGTAGCCATGAAGGCAATATTCGAGCAAAGTAAGAAAGATAAAAGACAGCATTGGGGGAATAGCATATTTTTTTTTCTATAACAGGATGTATAATATATCCTAGCACATAAGCTTTTTTGCTCTTGAGCATTGCAAATATTCTTTTTTCTTCTGTGAGCTTCTTTGGCATACACTGGGGATGCTTGGGGGCCTTTTTGAGATGGATTTCTGCTCTCTTCAATATAAGGTGAAATATTTCCAGATGATAAATAGCTCTGGGTCTGTTACTCAGGCAGGGGAGTTCTCAAAGCACATTGGGCTGTTAGAGGGAATTCCTAACCTTGTAAAGTGGTATCCCTCTTGCTCATATAGCAACAATTAAACTAGGGAGAACAAATGAGTCACCTCAGGAGAGTAGACTAGCATAGAATGTTAAATATTCTTGGGCATTCGGTGACTTTGAAAAGAGAACAATTTGCATAACATTACTCAGGCAGAGTTATAGATCATCTTTGGGTCTGATCTTCTTTCATCTATAAATACCTTAAGTATAATCTAATGGCTTTGTAGTTAATATAATGGCCACTATGATGTTCTTGAGCTCAGAATAAGTATTAGCATGAAACTAGGCAACTTCAAAAAAGGAAACACTAAGTGTTTTATAAGTTTACCAGGAAGAATCTAGCAAAAGTAGTTTGTGTTGTACATAATAAAATTATTTCAGACAAAGAAACTCACGCAAAATTTTCTTATACTCATATTGGCTGGTTTAAGTGAGTAAATCCTGTGTGTAAGTAAACAAATCAGTGACAATATTACTTTAAATCTCAATCACTAACTACTAAACCATTCTACATCACTTATAATCATAGATTTCAAGAATGGTAATGGGTCTTACCACTTATACGTGATTATTACAACAAAATGTACTGAGAGTATCCTGTATAAGAAACATATCCCTTACATCTGAATGTGTGTATAGATCTATCAGAAGATTCTGTAACTGCTTTTATAAAGATGTCCATATTAAGTAGGACAGACCTTTATGTGATTGCTTTTGTCCATATATGTTTTGAGACTGAAGAAGAGCGATAGTAAAACAGATAGAGCAATAAAGATTTAGACCACATGTCTGGAAGTTTCTCATTCCAGCAGAAAAATTCAAAATGGGGACCTAGTTCCATGACAAAAGATAATGACAAATAAATTGTTAATATTTAAATATGTGATCCGTCTATATTAAGGAAAGTAAAGACACTAATCCAAATGCAATGCTTGAAACTTATGGGGCTTCGTGTTCAGAAAACAAAGAAAGAAAATGCTACAAAGATATTTGGAGAGAGAAGTGGGGGTATTGAATATGACCCATTATTAAGTGATAACAGGCATTTTAATTAATTTTCTTAACTGAAACTGTGACAATGTGGTTATGCAGGAAAAGGTCTTATTTTCAGAAAACTGGTGCTGAAATATTGTGTAGTGAGTTGGTATGATGTTTGTAAATTATTTTCAAATCATCCATATATGAAAGTAAAGCAAATACAACAAAATGTTGAGAATGGTTTAATCTAGATTGTGAGAATATAGATTTTCATCATATAATTACTTCTATTTTTTCTGTTGATTTCAAGTTTTACTTAATATGATTTTGGTACAGGGAAATGGTGTACCTCCCAAACACCTTTAACTCCTCTTCAGAGAGCATCAGTAATTTATAGCAGAGGAACAAAAATAACAACCCGTAATTCTGATGGGAGGGAGTGGCGTAGAGGTCATCAGAGAAGATGGCCAATTTCTGTAACATTGCACATAGGTGAAGGATTGGTGACTGTTTAAACAAGCCCAAAGGAGCTATATGCGAGTGTTTACACTGAGAGGGCTCCAGCAATGAAGGCACAGCTCTGAAAGAGACCCAGATTTGGCAGTGATTCCAAAGAAAAGGCATAAAATTTGCCAGGAAAAACACAGAGATGAACTAATATTCTATATACAGAATTTCTCCTATATGCTTGAGAATGCATAAAATATAGGCATTAATGACCAGAATGTAAACAATAAAGAAATAATTTTTAAAAGACGTTATTCTGTAGGTAACCTGCAAAGAATTAGGACAGTGTTGGGACACCATTGTGCTTAGAACACCCCCAACCGAATATCTGAAAGTAGAAGAAATGATTGATTCTTTTATTCATTCTAGGCCAAAACTCTGATCAATAAATACAACTCAAAAACTCAAAACTTCAAATTAGGTTATTTATTCTTAAATATGAACAGGAAACTCAGAGTTATCTGGTATTCAAGGAAAGCCCGCCTTATGAATGGCAAAGACTCAAATTCAAAACACAAAAGTAATTCTGAAGGAAGAGATAATTTAAAGAAACCACACAAACACAGACTAATGAGAGTTTTCAAAAAGTTTCAAGAAATCCCACAGTTCACAAAATAAGAATATGATTATTTTTAAAATAACACTTAAAGAAATCCTGAAAATGAATATATCTGTGGTATATGTGTGTGGGTATGCACAATTTGTGTGTATTAAATTTGAAAATGAAGAGCATTACCAATAAATAAAGTAATATACATTTATTGCTTTCACACAATAGTCCAAAAGATATGACAATAAATAATATGAGTGAAATATATATGATACATTGAAGATGTGTAAGGTCTAACATTAAACAATTGAATTCTAGGTTAAGAACACGAAAAACCAAGGACAGGAAATAATCGTGGAAATAATCTTTGATAAAAATTTCTGAGTGCTGAAGGAAAATAGTTTTCGAATTGAGAAAATTTTCTAAGTGTCCAACCTCAAATAGGAAACATAAACACACATAAACTCGCACCTGGAGGCAATGTTCAAAACACAAACCCAAATAAACACATACTCGGAGACAGTGTTCTAAATAATTAGACTACATTCATAAAAATAAGATTATAAACACTAGAGAAAGAGAAGATGAAAATAAAAAGGGAAAAAAGAGGCTCTTTACCAACAAAGAAAATATAATCAGACGGATACCAAGTCCACTCTTGGTTTCTAGAAGATAATGAATACAATTTCAGATGCAAATGTATAAATTCCTTAAAATGTATGAAAAGAAATGATTTCTAATCTGGAAATATATGCCCAGATGAAAATTAATTATATATGAGGGTAAAATAAAGGCATACCGTGATATGAAAAGACTCAAGTAAAATGTCTAACATACACTCATTATTAAGAAATCATATAAAATTAGTGCAAGCCAACAAAATAGTAAACTAAAGTAAATATAACATCCAAGAAAAAGTGTTTCCAAACCAGGAGATTAATAAAGTAAATTCCAGGTTGACAATTGTGCAGATGTTCTTGTTTGGATTAGCAAGAAAGAAACCTCCCAAAGAGAGGCATGTAGTGAAAAGATTTGATGTCTGACCTCAGAAGTGGGATGAATCTAAGGATTTATTTATTCATAAATAAAACCACTAACAGACAAAGATGTTACGGAAAAAAAATCTATATGCAAAATAAAACTGCAGCAATTACATAGGAAATACAAATTATTTGGTAATAAAACAAAAAGGCTTACATTGTTCTAATTAGTGTAAAAAGAGTATTAGTTGTTCTCTTTTTTTAATGTTTTAGCATCAACTGATAGACAAAACTTAGAAACTTATTTATCAGTAGGTGTTCTCAGAGAAAAAGAACAAATTGGATGTTGATATAGCTATAGATGTAGATGTAGATATAGTTATAGATATAGAGATATTTAGAGAGATCTCTCTATATATAGATGTATCCATATATAGAGGATATATATGGATCTCTATATATCTATATATGGATATAGACATATCTCTCTATATAGGTATAGATATCTATATAGATATATAGATATATCTCTCTATATAGGTATATATATATATATCAATATATATCTCTATATATCGATATATAAAGATTTGTTATAAGGAATTGGCTCACACAATTATAAAGGCTGACTAGTCCAAAGGTATGCAGTTGGCAAACTGTAGACCCAGGATAGCTTCTAGTTCTAGTCTAAAGACGGGCAGGCTCAAGACCCAGGAAAAGCCAATGTTTTAATTGAAGTCAAAAGGCAGAAAAAAAATTCCAGTGTCTCAGCTTGAAGGCAGTCAGGCAGGAAGAGATCTCTGTCACTCACGGAGGGGTTTGCCCTTTTGATCTATTCATTCCCACAGCTATTGAATGAGGCCCATCCACATTAGGGAAGGCAATCTATTTTATTCAGTCTACTGATTTAAATACTAATCTCATTCAGAAACACCCACAGAGGCACACCCAGGATAATGCTTGACAAAATCTCTGGGCAACTTATGGCTCAGTCAAATTGACATATAAAATTAACTATCAGGCTTATTTTTAAAAAGAGGCCTGGCCACACAGGGTGTCTCACACCTGTAATCCCAGCACATTCAGAGGCATAGGCAGGTAGATTGCTTGAGCCCAGAAGTTTGAGACCAGCCTGGGTAATATGATGAAACCCCATCTCTACAAATAAAAAAATAGAAAAATTAGCTAAGCATGGTAGTCTGTGCCTGTAATCCCTGCTATTCAGGAGGATTACTTGAGCCCAGGAGGCAGAGGCTGCAGTGAGCTGAGATTGTGCCACTGCACTGTAGCTTGGGCCACAGAACAAGACCCTTTAAAAAAACAAAAAAAACCTAAGGCCTACTTCAGAATTTTTTAGGACAGATTCTGTATAATACAGATGATGGAAGCTGGTGGCGGACGGGGAGAAGAAATGGAAGGAGATGTAAGGGGAAGTGTAAAGGTGTTAATGCTATGATCCTATGAAATAGAGAAACCACAGATACATTCCAATGTCAAAAAAACAACTGTAAACATTGTATTGAAGGGTGTTAGGGTGATGGTTATTTGTATCTACAACCTACTTTTAAATGCATCAAAAATTAAGCTGGGTTAACAGATAGACAAATGGGTAGAAAATAATAAAACAATTATAAACAGTATGTAAAAAATATATAGACTAGGAGGTAAGTATACAGATGAATACTATATACTTTTATCATGAATTTGAAAATTTCATAATAAAATGTTGGAGGCAAGAAGAAAAAAAAGGATACATTCTATGAGTGAACTGAAATTTAGAAACTCAGATATCACTTAGTGTTTTATTGACAACACAGAGAATAAACGATGGTACAGTTTTACTTGGACAAGGCAAGGGGTATGCAGTTTGGAAGTCAACAAATATTATTCAAATTTATAATTAAAGAACTACTATAACATTTAATCATTTAGCCAATTTTATATATGTATTTTTATAAGAACTGAAACAGAAAGAATGAAAATAGAAACAATTAAAAATGTCCCCAGCTGGCTAGGAAAAGAAAGAGTATGGTTTGGGATTATAAACTCTTCGATTCCCTATGATATTTAGCAATTTAATTGTATTACTTTGATTAAAATGTTTTTGATCAGTTTAAACTGATGTAATGAATTCATATTTATTGATACAGAAAAATATGATATAATCCATCTAAAAAGCAAGTTACAAAACAGTGTACAGTGTACCATAGTACCTATGAACACAATTAGTGAAGTAATTTGCAGAGCTATAATACCAAATCAGAAATTATTTTGGTAATGAATTTATGATTTTCCTCGTTTTCTGATTTTTTCCATGATCTCATATACTTTATTCTCAGAAAACAAAAGACAAAACCCCACACATACACAAAAATAAACGAGTAACTTCTTTACAACCCCAGAGGCTAAGTCAGTGGGAAAAGAGGGAAATGAATGGTTATGAGCATAAACACAGGGACAAATAAAAGAAGTTTGGAGCACAGAGAACAATTCACAAATCAGAAGTCATTTTAAAGGACACAGAAATCATGGTTTTAAATATCATTCCATAAGCAAAGAGAATATTAAAATCATTTTTTGGAAAATTCCTTGAAAAATGTTTTGTAATAACTTTTTTATTTTTTACCCTTCTCATCACAACCATCCTCATTACCTCATAAGAGCCATATGTGGTAACTGTCCAGGGTTGTTCATCTCTGCCTCTCGCCAGGAAATACACTGAATTGCAAGAATTAGGTACTACAAAAAGATGCATATTTTATATTAAGCAGTTACATTTAGAAGTAAACTGGTAACTTGATGGCATTTCTATAGCATATATATATATATATATATATATATATATATATATATATGCCATACATATATGTATGTTTTTTTTTTTTTTTTTTACTCATGTATAAAACACATATATCCACATATGGGTTAGTAGTAGTATTTGTTGAACACAATTTTTGGTTTTCACACAAATGCACCTTTTCAAAAATCAATTGTTCCTTCTCCCAACATACCCCAGGCTGGCAAATGACAAATGAAAATAAAATCCCTGCTGGAAATAGTGGTATAAAAAGCATTTTCCATTTTATGTGCACTTTTCAACCCAGAGAAAATAAGAAATTTGTTTTATTTTTGTGCAGTAGTTTCTAAAATATAATCGGAGAGATGCTAGTAAACATTTAACTTTAGATTAGCTTTCTCAAAACTTTTAAGCGCTGGAATGAAAGATTTGCTTACATTCTGAAGCTGGTGCAGGGTATCTTTTTTAAGCCTTCTTTGGCATCTCATTTTCACGCACCATCTGAGATGACTTGGAAAACACCAGAAAATAACAACACTACTTCCACAAAACAACTGCCTGGACAGTGCCTATTTCTACAGCCATCATTTATAGAACTCTTTTTCTGGGGAGAAGTTTTATTTTAAGTGTCAATACTAAAAGATGGTATATTTGGAGTTGGCTGCTTCAATCAGTAAATGTAGTCAGCACCGACTCAGAAACAGCTTATTTTTAATAATTGGAAGAAGAAATATTTCTAGCTGTTAGTTTTAAATGGCTACAAAGGAAAGAAATTATTTTTTTGGAATTATTAGCTTGCCGTATGTGTAGATTAAAAAGGCTGTGTAAAAATGGCATCTTGTGATTTTTTTTTACAGTGAACATGACCCAAAACTATGGAAAAGACTATGAGTTCTTTTTATCTTTAGCCCTCCTTCCTTCTTTGTGCAAATGAGACTAAGAACTTCCTTCACATTGTAAGCAAAGCCTGAATCCCATTGCTGACGTATTTGAGAAAGCAGTTTCATCGATAGAGATCAATTTCTGGAATCACTAAAAATTCAACATTTTCTAAGATTCATAAAAATTATTATAGCTTTAGTCTTGACAGTTGCCTTTTTATTTTAAGGAAATTAACCCCAGAAAACACATAAACACGTGCATATACATACATACACACACGCACATTCACCACACAGTTTATGAAGGAATACAGAGTGCCCACTGGATCATTCAACTTCACTGAATGAATATGCAGAAATTTTAAAAAAGTAATTTTGAAAAATTTCAAATGATACTGAAAAATTTGGTATTTTGTTTTAAAAATCTTGACTCATTTATTTATAAAGTGTGTATATAGATAGATACAAGCAGAGAAATATATATCAATATAAATGTGCAGTAAATATGTATTTATATATATTTACCCTTTCAGTTATATATTTACATAACCGAAACATATAAAATTAACAAAGAAGGCAGGGCGCAGTGGCTCATGCCGATAATCCCAGCCCTTTGGGAGGCTGAGGCGGGCGGATTATTTGAGGTAAGGGGTTTGAGACCAGCCTGACCAACATGGTGAAACCCTGTCTCTATCAAAACTACAAAAATTAGCCTGGCATGGTGGCATGCGCCTTGTAGTTCCAGCTGCTCTGGAGGCTGAGGCAGGAGAATTGCTTGAACCCGAGAGGTGGAGGTTGCAGTGAGCCGAGATCACGCCACTGCACTCCAGCCTAGGCAACGAGAGCGATACTCCGACTCAAAAAAAGAGAAGTTATCTCTAGGTAAGATCATGATGGAAATTTTCATCTTACTTTATACCTTTCACTGTTGAAATTATTTTACAGTTGAAGTAAAGGAAATTTTACAATATCCAACAAGAGCCGATGTCATTTATTTAATATCAAAATTAATATTGGAAAAATGTCTATACTTTAGGCTACCACCCATCTGCCTGAATTAATCAGCATTAATACTTAATTTTAAATATTACCTGTCAACGCAGGTCACTGAATGTGATCTCCTTTAAGGTATTATCATGTAATAAACTGCTACAAAAAGTCTAATTCTCTCAAGAGTTTTATAGTCATCCACTTCATTTTCAGGTCAACATTTTAACATATTTTCCCATATTTTTTTCTGAAGCTTTAATCTCTGCAAAGCCCATCTTTAAATTTGAAGGAAAAGGTAGAAGAGTGAGGAGCAGCAGTAATTAACTTGAATTTGGAACTTGGATATAACTAAAGACACATTTTGCTTCTTCATTTTTATGTCAGTTTGCAAAGGAAACAGTTATGATTTTAGCTAAATACAGAAATTTTTTTCTTTTTTCTTTTTAAAATTCTACTTGTATCACATTTCAAAACCTACTCTGAATTTTCACTCAGTTCCCACAATATTACCATAATTCTTTGAGCTGTTGGCAAAATGGATCCATTTTATAAAGTCATGCCTTTTGCATTGAGCTTTTGCCTGTCTCATATATTTAGATAAATTTGAAAGCAAAAGGAATATCCACTGTGTTGAATATCTTTAATAGCATGGTTGAAATTTATAATTTGAAATTCGTAAGTTCAAAGAACATTTATCTACTGCTTGATTTTATGCTTGAAACTTCCTATGCTTCACAGCAGTTTTTTTTTAATAGGTGGACAAAAATCCTTCCTCCTATCATTCATAACAATTTTCTTTATACTTAAGTAAAATATACAGAAACTTTTAAAGGAACGCCAAAATCTTGTTCCCTCTTATTGTTGCCACATTATTTTTATTATATTACCCAACCAGGTTTTTATGGTTATGCTTATACTCTCATACAAAACAGTTTTAGAACAAATATTGAAGGAAATGCAGGGTCACAAAATGAATAAGTTTACCTTAATAACATTAATATGAACAATGATATTATTTTATTGAACTTAAAGCACGCTCTTGAGCTTAAGAGCAAAGATGTAGCCACAGTTGAACTTGTATTTATTTGGGCTATAATTACTCATACTAATACACAGGAAGCTTATTTGCAACAGGATATTTATATAATTTAAAATATTTTCAGAGTTTTTGTGTGTGTTGAAATGTTAGGAAAACAGAACTCATTCTTAAGCAATGATTTGCAAAGAGCAGTGCTCATATGCAGATTTTTAAGGCGTAGCCCAAATGGTTAGAAATGCTGCAAAAGTTTAATTTTCTTTTGGGTGATCTGTTGTCTGGAAAAAGCTGTTACATGTAAAAATTTGGATGCTGAAATCAAATGGCTATACCCAAATGAGCAAGAATAGTTTAAAACATTTAAATCAGCATCTGCATAAAAATTAATATAAATATTATTTATGACTGTTATGTATATATAATTATATTATGCATAAGAATATATTTATACAAATATATACTACTAGAAAATTGTATATGATGTACTATTTTATTTTATGTAATATTTTATGTATATATTTATTTACACATAATTTATATACTTTTAAGACTGTGTCCATTTTTCATTTATTCTTGGTCTCCGGTTTGAACAACGCTGCTTTATGGCATTACACTGATAATTCTCTCTACTCTTTAGTTCTCTTCCTTATCGCTTATTCATGTGTATCTTATTCCATGCTATAATGTAATGTACCATACATGTGTTGAATTTTAAAACAAAATTAGCAGAATTTCAATGCTTTCCTATATTACTCAACATAAATATTCTCTATATAGAATGAATTGGAACAAGCTATTTGTGAATCTGAAAGGATAATCAGTGATTCTACCAATCATAGTGGTAAACTCATTCAAACTCAGCCTGTTAAAATGAGACGCTCTGCCCTATATCACTGAAAACCTCTTGATTTGCCAGATTTTTCCCTTCTTTACAAATGAAAATGCTTAGTGTTTTCTGAGTTCCTTTGCACTATCTCCCACTGGATTCAGGTCATTGATTTCATCTTCAGAACACTTGGAAAGTTTATTTTGTGGTGTTTATGAGCTAATTTATTTTTATTGCAATGTTTATTTAAAATGAAACAATAAGTACACTGAAGTTTTGTGCATTTCATTTTATGAAAATGTTATCCCAAAGGGATACAGAAGAACTAAATACAAATTTTCAAAATTTATTGTTTTTTTTTTTTGCCTGCTGCTATATCTGAGGTTGTACTTTTGTTCTGATCTTTGTAACACCTCAAAAAAAAAATGGGTTAAGAGAAGGATGAACAGAAGAATGGATATGAGACCTATCTGATAAGGCAAGCAGATTAATAGACGAATGGAGGAATGTTTGGATGTATATGTATATGTGTTCATTGCAGTTTTCAACTTTTTGTGTTGAAATTTTTATAAAAAGAAGTTGGAGAAATAAAAAACAAGAAAACAGAACCATAAGATTTTTATTTAACATTTTTGATTAAAGGAATTGTATTGCAAATTATGACTTTTTAATTTGGCAACTTCCTTTTAATGGTGTTCTTTCTTTGTCCTTCTCTTTCTCTTCCTCTCTCTCTCCCTCTCTTCCCTAAAGCTCCATTCCGACTTAGACAAGGGAGAGGGCACTGCGAAATACACCCTCTCAGGAGATGGCGCTGGCACCGTTTTTACCATTGATGAAACCACAGGGGACATTCATGCAATAAGGAGCCTAGATAGAGAAGAAAAACCTTTCTACACTCTTCGTGCTCAGGCTGTGGACATAGAAACCAGAAAGCCCCTGGAGCCTGAATCAGAATTCATCATCAAAGTGCAGGATATTAATGATAATGAGCCAAAGTTTTGGGATGGACCTTATGTTGCTACTGTCCCAGAAATGTCTCCTGTGGGTGAGTAGGCAAATCAAAATTCTGTGAGATACAATGAGACCTCTTCAACATTGACTTTTTGCAGGTTGATGTAAACATCTTATCTATCATCTAAAAGAATTATTTTTCAATTCTAGAAAATACAGTTCTTTTCATTTATTTTTGTAACTTTTTTGTTTTTCTTTCTGCTTCATTATGAAGATAACTACAGGAATATATAACATTAGTTCCTGTTTTCCACCCTGTGAATTTACCTGAATTCATAGAATCCTTGCGTGCTTTAAGCAAAAAATGTATTTTGTATTGAAATTGATTCTTATCTCAATTCCAGACACCTATACAGTGCTGGAGACACCTACCCTACACCACGAAATGCCAGACAGTAATTCCTAGATCAAAGTAAATGATCTAAAGCATGCATCACATCTGATCTGGAAGTGGTCCAGAAACAGGTGTGTTGCATCTTCTGTAGCTGTAAATAGAGATTCTGGAAGGGTGATACTGTTTCCTTTTCAGGGTAAATAACCCATACTTGTTATGCCATCAAGCCAAGCAGCAAATGAATAATGTCATGAAAATATTATTAGAACAAATTAACAAATTACAATTACAATTATCAAATTAACAATTAGAATATAGTAGCACCATCATTCTAAAAATTTAAATTTGATATAAATATACATTTCCATATCAGCCTAAATTTACAAAGTCCTATAATATGTAGGATATAAGGTCAATAAGTTAAGAATTCCAGCTTTAAGGACAATTTTAAATTATAATTTTTATTCCTCAGTCACCACTGCTAATCCTTCAATTTATTTCAAAGTAACTTCTGGTTTTTATTACATTTGGAAGATAAAGCAACTTATCACATGTAGGTTACAACTTAAAATTCGTGTATGAGCCATTGCTTATATTTTCTAAATCTGACATGACCCAGGGGGTTTCTACTGCTCCTACCACCACCCAGGACATGCGATGAAGATTGTGCACGTTACCGTGAGGGCGGAAGCAGGTTAGTAGCTGTAGGAGCTGTCACATGGATTTACTATAATGCACTTGAAATTGTGTATGTGACCTTATCAGGCATTTAAGGACCATAATCTCTCCTTGACCTAAGAAATCAGCTTGAAGTAATTCACTTAGATTTCAAATTTTAATGTGGATACCCAAGGCTGCAAATCTGTTATTCAGTACCTGCTACACTTTTGGGGTTGCCTCTTTTATGCACTGTTAGAATTGCTAGAAATTTAGAAGTCCAATTGGAAAGAAGCATATCTTGTTAGAAAGTATTCCCAGAAAATGAGGAAGGCTACATTTTAACTGTGTCTTGATTTTACAGGGAGAAAAATAAAGTTAATATTTTGAGGAAAAAATAAGGCTTTTAAGATGACATGCTATATAGTAGACAAATAGTTTAACTCGGTGCCTACTTCATGTACACTGGATGTGTTAACATGAATTTATGACCCTCAGTGACTTTTTATTACCAAAACAGCTTCCTTAAAGCAAACACACACACATGCCTCTACAGTATTGGAAAATTCCGTCTCCTTAGATAAAACAATTAGGATTTTTCTTGGGCCAACTAGAATAATTAGGGCTGCAGAGTTGGAGCCTTTATATAAGGAGTTTGCAGCTCATATCCGAAGAGAGAAATGTATTTCGAAAGTCAAAAGTGTAGGTAAGTGAGAAAGCAGAGTAGTTTCAGCTTTTGCATTTGGAGTGGGTATAATTTACTGTGTTGTCATAAGATACTGGAAAGATCTTTGGAAGAATAGGTTCTTAAAGTGTTTTCTCATGTGCCCTTACTGACATTTCCCATTGGGCCTTCAAGACAACTCCAGTAAATACTTAAATTGATTTTCAGTGCACTGCTTTCTTTCATTTTTATTTATTTATTTTGAGACTGGGTCTTGGTCTGTTGCCCTGGCTGGAGTGCAATGGCCCAATCTTAGCTCACTGAAGCCTTAAATTCCTGGGCTGAAGAGATCCCTCCACCTGAGCCTCCTTAATAGCCAGTCATGTGCCACCCTGCCTAGCTATTTTTTTTTTTTTTTTTTTTTTTTTTTTACTTTTTGTAGAGAAGGGATCTAGCTATGTTGCCCAGGCTGTTCTCAAGTAGTCCTGGCCTCAAATGATCCCTCCACCTTGGCTTCCCAGAGCACTGGGATTACAGTCATGAGCCACCCTCCTGGCTCCTTTTTTTTTTATTTTTAATAACAGAAGGGTATTTCTTTTGAATGTGAAATTTTACCACATGGTATGAATTAGTCCAAGTGTTTTTATACTAAATTTACATAATATACACTTTTCAAGTAAGTACAAAGAGGTATAAACACTGCTTATGAATTGAATGTTAAAAAATAAATCTCTATGCATTACTTTTGTCTTTCCCCATAATCTCACGTATACACATAAAACAAAAAACAAGGAGACCCAGTTATAGTTGTGGTATCTGCTGTTTCTGCCTTGAAATTTCCAGCTTACAGCTAAGCAACAACTACTGTGCATCCAGAACTTACATCTATGTTCCTAGAGTACTTGAACCCCATTCTCAAGTGCACCCTTCTTACCAGGTGGAAATAGTTCACTGCTGTAATAATCTAAGAAAACATTATGTTTCTCTCTACTTTTTTTTCTCTCATATAATCTAGGCAATTCTCCCTCTGTATCATTTTCCTGAGAAAACTAAAATAATTTTTAATCAAGACCAGATGGAACTTTGTATGGTATATTGACAGTATACCAATTGTTGTGACGAATCTTACTGCCTGTTGTAGATATCAGTGTTTGAAGTATTCCCTATGAAATAACTTTTCTGTCCCAATAATTGAGAGTGCTGTTTCATTTCCAAAAAAAGGGAAGAATTAATCAATTAAACATACATATAGTGAAATAACCTGTTTTGTAACATAAAACATAAGATGAAGAAATATCGGAACATTGATATGAAGTTTAACAGTAATGGATTATATATCCAGAAATATGAACAAATAAACCTGCAATGAAAATTTACTAATGTTACTAATTTTCACTTGTGTAACATGAACATTACAAAGAACATAGTGTACAAAGGGAGAATGTTGGTGGGTAGGATGAGTCAAGATTTCAGAGGAAAATCAATATTTAAGACTTACAGCACTGTGGAATATATTTAATTTTCCTAAAGTTGAAGAAAATTTCAGTGAATCTATGAATTGTTTAAGAGAAAGGTCACTCCGTTACTGACTTCTGCTACATCTAATATTCCAGGGAAGTAATATTTAGAGATAAAAAGCTTTTACTCTGACCTCCGGAAATTACTTAATGATCCAGATACTCCCAAAGTCAAAGCAAATCCTTGGAGACAAGTTTGGACTTTATGAATGTGGACTTAATTCTTTAAGATCACTAGAGCAACAATAAATTACAGGAATGTACCCTCTTTATATCTGATGATTATGCATAAGTGGGGTGTGCAGTTTTAAGTTACTTTTCCTACAGTGCTGACAGGTTTAGAGTGTTAAATCCATACTCAACTTGTATTATCTTCCTCTGCTTGAGCTATGCCACCTTGAGTCAGCTGATTTGACTATTTATAATTAGATACCTAACCTATGATATGATATAGTAGATGTCAATAGTGACTCATGATTTATGTAGTAAGTCTTACCATTTTCTAAGCAGTAGTCAGGTGCCATGTGATCTAACTAAAGATTTGTATTTCTTATTTTACTTAACAATTACAGTAACCCCAATGCAGTATTATTCACTGTTGGATTTTTTTTAATGTGAAAACTTAATAACCCCTGTGGATAAGAAAGTAAGAATGATTCTTAGGTGCTTTAGGACCAAATTAATCAGAATTTAATATACCACTTTGTCTAGGTGTCATGGCGGCTAAAATATCTTTGAGAAAGTTAAACTTAGCTTTCAATCTCAGATGATCTACTTAAGAATTTGGAAAGTTTATATTATATTATTTGAGAATGGGGATTCTTGCTTAAACGAAACCTGAAGGACGGGCATCTTTCATTCAATATCTTAAAAAGAAAGTTTAGCTGACATTTAAATAAGAAAAGATACACCTAAAATAAAGTAGAACACTGGTTTAATAAAAATAGTGAACAGGTACTCCCTTGCCTTTCTATTTTTCTCTCAACTCTATTTTATTTTACCTGAAGTTTGGGGAGAAATGCTAAGATGAAATTTTTGGTGGAGTCTTTCAGAGGTTATTTAACCAGAGACTATTTTCTTTTTTCTTTTTTTTTTGAGATGGAGTCTTGCTCTATTGCCCAGGCTGGAGTGTAGTGGTGCGGTCTTGGCTCACTGCAACCTCTGCCTTCCATGTTCAAGTGATTCTCCTGCCTCAGCTTCTCGAGTAACTGGGATTACCGGTGTGCACCACCGCACTCAGCTAATTTTTGTATTTTTAGAAGAGATGGGGTTTTGCCACATTGGCCAGGCTGGTCTCGAACTCCTGACCTCAAGTGATTTGCCTGCCTCGGCCTCCCAAAGTGTTGGTGTTAAGGACATGAGCCACAGTGTCCAGCCAACCAGAGACTACTTGTTTCGTGGCCATATTTAAACGGTCTAAGAAGGAAAAGTGAAGACTGTGTCTGTACTTTACATTAATGAACTATTACAATTTAGAAACATATATAAGTCTCCACACTTCCTTATTTTCACAAAAATGCCATAGAGAGACAAATTGAAACATAAAAAACTAGATATATTCTCTCATCCCATGAGCCAGCCATGGAAACAGAGAGCAGCTCAATTAGTAGCAGAGGAACAGGTGAATTATCATCCACTTCTATCTATGCCCTAAAAGCAGAGTTTTCTCAGAAGCTTGAAGACAGAATGTTGACTATTTATTTTCCACACATAAAGACATTCTCCTTGTGCAATCAAACTACAATGTTTAAAATCAGGAAATTTGCATTAATGTATTATTATAATCTAATCCTTCAGCCCTATTCAAGCATTAGCACTTGTCTCAATAGTGTCTTATATAACAAAAAGTTCAAGTTCAAAATCAAACATTGTATTAAAATGTTAGGTCTGTTTAGTTTCCTTTAATCTGAAACAGGTTCATATTTTTTCTTGGTTTCCGTGACTTTAATATTTTTGAAGATTTCTGCCTAGTTATTTTTTAGAATGGCTCTCCCATCTTGAGTATGTGTGATGTTTCCTCATGTATGAATGAAGCATATACATCTTTGTCAGAAATATCCCAGAAGCAATTCTGTACTCTCCTCATTATGTTCTGTTGGGTGGGCCATGGTTTTTGATTTGTCTCATTACTGATGATGGTTACTTTTATTATTTGATAAAGGTTGTATATAACTTATCTATTATGGCATAATACATTAGCTAAAACCTTAGCGGTGTAAAACAGCAGATACTTACGTTTCTCATAGGAATGGCTCTATTGAGTACCTCTGTCTCAAGGCTTCTCAAGAGTTTGTAGCTACCTTGTTGGCTGGGGTTGCGGTCTGATCTAAAGGCTTAGTTAGGGGGTGGTAGAAATCTTCCATATGTTCTTTGCTACGTGGACCTCACAGGCCTACATCATAACGTGGCAGCTGGCTTTCCTCAGAATGAACTACCCAAAAGAGAGCTAGACAGAGAGAAAACCCTCTGATTGAAGCCATAGTCTATTTATAACCTAATCTTGAAAGTGACATCACATCCCATCTGCCATATTATACAAGTAAGTGCAACGCGAATACAAGAAAGCCGGGATCATTGAGGGCTCTCCTACAGTCTACCTACCACTCTCTATACTCTGGCTCTCAATGATTCATGTTGCTCTCTCATGCAATATATCCTCATCCCCTTCTGAGGACCCCAAAATTTTCAACCCACTATAGCATCAGCTCAAAGTCCAGAAGCTTTTCATCTAAATCAAGTCCAGATGGGGAAGTGATTTTGGGTTTAATTCTTTTTTTTTTTTTCTTTTAGATTTTTTTACTTTTAGTTTTGGAGTACCTGTGCAGGATGTGCAGGTTTGTTACATTGATAAACATGTGCCAGGGTGGTTTGCTGCACCTATCAACCCATCACATAGGTATTAAGCCCAGCATGCATTAGTTATTTTTTCTAATGCTCCCCATCCCTCCCCTCCACCCCCCATCAAGCCCCAGTGTGTATTGTTCTCCACCCTGTGTCCATGTGTTCTTACCGTTCAGCTCCCACTTCTAAGAGACAACATGTGGTGTTTGGTTTTCTGTTCCTGCGTTACTTTGCTAAGGATAATGGCTTCCAGCTTCATCCATGTCCCTGCAGAGGACATGATCTCATTTCCTTTTTGTGGCGGCATAGTATTTCATGGTGTATATGTACCACATTTTCTTCATCCAGCTTTGTGATACTAAAGAGGCCAGTTACTTACTACACATTCACCAAAAATACAGTGGCAAAACAGGAATAATGTCTCTAGACATTCCTGTTGAAAAAAATGGGAAAATGCACAGACTAAAAGAATGATTGGTCCACCACATTTTAAAATCCCAGTGGTAAATGTTGCAAGTCATTTGATTATATTCAACGCCTGTGAATAATTATTCATGCCTCTCATCTCTGACCTCTAGGCTCTTCGTTCTGCCTTTTGAGTTATTCTTTTTTTTTTTTCCATGAAATACAGCTGGTACTTGCAATAGTACTTGGGTGTTGAACTTGTTAAGAGTGCATATCCTTTTTTTCAGATCCATCTATCATTTCCTAGTTGTATGTGGTTGTGTGGGTTATTTCTCCTCTTTTACATTGATTTTCTCACCTGCAAGTGAATAATAGTAACACTTTATGAGCAGGGTTATTGCAAGTAGCAAGGAGAAAATATATATTTACCATTTGCCACAATCCCTGGGGAAGTGCAGTCAATACATTGGAAAGGGTCCTCATAAGAGTTTGATGATCATTCTCAGAAATCTAGCCAGAGAAAGTCTAAATGGTAAAGGTTCCAGCTCATTATCTTCTTCCCTTTTCTCAAGTTTTCTCTCCATCTGACATGTGAGCTCAGTATTTACCATTGCCCTTTCTACAAATTTAACCAAGTTTATTTAAAAACATAATGACCTTCTATCCCAATTTACATTTTCTTTGGTGTAGAGGACGCCTTTACCTTGATGTGTGGAGACAAGCCGTTGATTTGTAAGAAACACCAATTATCAGCTTCCACTTGTGCTTCACAATCTGCTGAGTCGCTTTAACACTTTTGATGAAATTGAGCAAGGCCTTGTGATCTCTCCTGTGCCAGCCGTGAAGTGTCCACTGCACGCAGCTTGGCAGAACTATTTTCAGGGCCATAGGATGTTATGGCTGTGTGGGCAGGGAGCATTTTATTCGTCTGTTTGATTCCTATGTTTTTATTAGTGGTGCAATTGCAAAGGTAATGCTATTGACACTTTTTGTGTAGCCTTGAGAGAAGAGTATGAATTGTTTTAGTAGCAGCACAGCGTGTCCCTAAATATAAATCATGCTGTACTGATAGTTACTTTAGCAGCCACTGATCAGCAATAAATGTTAAAAATTAACAAGAAGTTTCTTTTTTTCGAAACCGCCAAATGACTCTAAGCATTAAATATATTTTAGCCGGAGTTGCTTCTCGGCCACAGAGTGGTTCACAACATTAAACATATTTTCAAAGTATTACTCCTTCCCCAGCCTCCAAGTGGTTGTAAACATTAAATATGTCTTATAAAAACTGCTTTGCCAGCTACTGGCAAGACAGCTATGAACATCATTTTTCTTTAAAGTTGCCTTCCAGCTGCGGGACTATTTTTCCTTATTTGCTCTATTCTATTTATATTTTGTACACAAAAGCAGGCAAGAGGCTACATTGGCCCAATTGTCTCTGGCTTTATGATAAGTGATCGTGGGAGAGCAGTTGCACCTCCGTAAAACCCTGCTGGCCACAGGAGCTTGCTGAAGTTCAATCACTGATACTGAATATTTCATATAGATGTCAGCTGTGTCTTCCAAAATAATTTTTGTTTTTCATTGTGCAATGTGTTGAGGCATAAAGATGGGCATGCATTAACATCAGCATTAAGAAAAATAACTTGAAGCAACCAGACACTGATGAATTATACCCACTGATTCAGGTGAAAATATTCCGTGAAGAGAACAGACTCAAATGGCAGGACTAGTATGTTAATGAGGTCTTTAACCCAAACATGATGAAAGACTTGGAACCTCTGTCTGGAAATCATCCAGTCTGACAACTGCATGCGATTCAAAAAGAGTGAAGAGTATGCTATTACATAAAGGTCTATCCAGGACTTAGAGCAGGAAATCTTTTCATTTTAACCAAATTCACAGTGAAAATAACGTGTGTCCCCTGAGTGAATTGAAAAATAAATTAGCTCTATCATCTCAGGCACAGTAATTCATCATCAGGCCAAATAATTAATTACTCAGGAAGGCTTTGATTTCTATGGGAGCCAAGTGTTCTCCAAATTGTGTAGTACTGTATCTTGCCAAATGTTTTATTTTAGGTGTATGTTCAACAGGTTCCAATATTCATCAATACCTACGTGACAGGCACTATTTTAGGTACTGGAGCTAGAACTTGAGCAAAAAAGACAAAAAGTCCTCCTCTCAGGAAGCTTTTACTCCAAAGGCCTCCTGCAGGGGCAGCAAGCTAAACTCTGTGAGCTAAATTCAACATATCATCTGTTTTTATTGGAACAGTTACACTTATTCATTTCTGTGTTGTCTATGGCTGCTTTCACACCACAATGGAAGAGCTGGCAACAGAGACCATATGGCCTGCAAAGACTAAAATATTTACTATCTGCTCCTTCACAGAAAAGTATGTTGACCCATTACATAGTGGATTGAGTTTGAGAGAGGAGATTAAGGTAAGGCCAACATTTTAAATCGACCTATGAGGAAAAAGTGTTTTTTTTCTCCCTAAAAATTACCTCTTCCAAAAGAAAACAAAACACAAAAAAACATAAAAATAAAAAGAAAGAAAATGGCAAGACCCAAGGTAAAATGAAGGGTAAAAGTGAGCACCACACTAATACATATGTATCAGCGTGAAATCAGATGCTGCCATTTAGTTCCTGCTGAAAGTGTTGGTTTGGCTTTATTAAAATAACTTAAACACAGTCTTTCAATGTTATAGACTCATGGTAAAGGTTTCTTTTTCCTTTTGTGAATTTTTAAAAATTTCTCTGCAAAAATTATTCCTCACACAATTATGTAACTTTATATTTTCGATTAAAACTAAAACTAAAAATGTTGAAAGAACAACTCGATATTGGATTAAAATATTCATTTTCCATCTTCATTCTCAGGATTCATATTTGGTTGCCTCATTGCGATATAAGTATGTTGAAAAAAATGGAAAATTGCTGAAAGCAAAAATTTTAAAACTCACCAGTATTAATAATTATCACCAAATAACTATTACAGAAAACTTCCTCAGAAAGTAAAATTAGAGTGAAGGTATCACAGGTTGGCACTATTTTCATTCCCGACCAAGAAACTGACACCTGAAAATTAAAAAAAAAAAAAATCAGAGTCTACAGTTTTACAAATAATTAACAAAATGAACATCAAAATAGGGTGCAATTTGTTTAATTGGCAAAGGCACACAACGAAAAAGAAATATGTCAATTAAACTGTCAACCATGTTAATTTTGCCTCTGAGAAAAACATTGTAATGGGATAATTTCACGAAATGCTTTGATGACAAGAAAATGCCAAAATATGATTAGCTACTTCAAAATTCAGCTGAAACAAGAAAGCAATTGGTGGCAGCCAGAATAACCAAAGGTCTTTTTTTTAATATACCTTTTTCTTTCCGTCTCTTTTTGCCTGTGTTTAATCAACAGCGTACATTTTGTTTGACAGTGAAATGATTCATAATGAAAACACTGGCATCACAAAAACTTAGCAGAAACTTTGCTATAAGATTAGAGTATACACTTCTATTTTCCCCAAACTCTTTAAAAATATAATTACTATTTCTGAAAGAATTTGTTATCTTTATGAAATAATGTATTTTTCTTACTAGCATTAAGTGCTTATTTAGCTAAAAGCCAGAATTAGAAGCAATTCACTCATATGAGTATGTTTATATTTATATTGTCAAATATATTTACTTAGAATTTAAACCAAGATATATTTTATTTATTGTTCTCATCACTGCCTGTTAGTCAGAATGGATATTTTAAATTTTACCAGGTCATGTAAATTTTACTACCTATATTTCTTATTCCTGTTTGTTTAGAAAAATAATCTAGTCTATACCTAAGCTAACAAATAATCCTAAACATTGAAAATACACACATGATTATGAAGAATTCACTTTCTAATAAGTTTCAGCTTTTTACAAATGGCTGCTTAAATATAATGCATAAATATGACGTATTTTTAAAAATACATCTTGTTTATGCATTACTTGAACCATAACTAATCCCCATTTCCAGTCAAAAAGAACACTGTCTACATATGTTAATCTCTAATACAACAAAAGCAGGCTTAGCTTAATGGGAAACTTATTAGAGTAAAATAGTTCTTTTTATTTTGTATTTTATTTTATTATTACAATAAGAAGATTATAATTTGGTAACCAGCAGGAGAAGAAAGACTTCCAAAGATTATTTTATGGGTCCATGTATTTGCTTTTCCTGAGGGTAACTAGTGCTAATTCTAGAAAGGCAGAATGCTGTAGGAAAAACAAAATAAGCCCTGGAGTACAAAAGATTTGGATTCAAACTTTGAAGAAGGATGGGGAAGTGTTTAGGAAAGTGCTTCCCTGTGTAAAACTTAGCTGGTAAGTACCATATTTCACTGAAATTGCTGTTATAATAATTGAAACAGATTATTATTGGAAAAACAACATCAGCAAAACTAAACCCTAGATGAGTTTAAATAAGTGCCAGCCATTTTTCTCCTGTGGGGATTTAGAGTTGAAGTGGGTATCTTCGATTACTTTTCTTTATCCTCATTCTTATTCTTATAATTTTTCCTAATAAGTCACCTAAGAAGGGCATTTAAATAAGTGCTAGCCTTTTTTCTCCTATGGGGATTTAGAGTTGAAGTGGATGTCTTCAATTACTTTTCTTCTCTATTCTCGTTCTTATTCTTATAATTTTTCCTAATAAGTCACCTAAGAAGGGGATTCTAGAAACATCTCTTTCCAAGAATACATATTGTTTTAAGAAATATCAGTTACCCCAAATACTTGAATAGAAACTAGGAAAACAGGAGAGGGAGATTATAGGTGTAAACAAGGAATTACTGTGCAGTAATATGTGTAGTGGACGTGAAAAGTAATGACTTAACAGTTTGAATACACAAAGATGGACCAAACAAATACATTTATTTCTCCTTTATTCCAAATTGCCATTGAAATAGGAAAATATAGTACTTATTAAAATAACTATGGAAAGTTGAGAAGAATTCTACCAACAGACTAAAGAGTAAGCAATTTCTGAAGGACATAAGTCATATCAGAGGCACTTTAGTCTTTGGCCATAATAGAATTATTGGAGGGACTTGCCTTTTCACTATAAACAATGATAAAACTGGGCAACATATATGAGGAACCAGATTTTATGCATCAAACAAGAAGTACAAGTTTTTCATACTCAAGAGAGAAGAAAGCTGTGAGGTAAGTACCACATTTAACCAGAGAATGTGACTAGGGGCACTTTTTCTCCCATTAAACAAGGAGGCAGACTCTAAAAATAATGAGTTTAGAGGAAGAAATTAAAGCTTAAAGCTCTCATTTTGTAGGTTGTCTGCTTATTTGTTGATAATTTCTTTTGCTATGCAGAAGCTCTTAGTTTAATTAGGTTCCAAAAAGAGGTAGGGGTAGAGGGACAAGAGCCAAGGAACTTCCTGTTAGGTATTCAGTTCACTACCTGGGTGACAGGATCAGTGGAAGCCCAAACAGTAGCAGCAAGCAATATAACTTTGTAACAAACCTGCACATATACCCCCTGAATCTAAAATTACAATTAAATCTCTATCTATATCATCTCTCTCTCTATCTATCTATCTATCTATCGATATTTGTAAATAGCTTACACTTGCTTAAGTGGTTGTTATTTAAGAGCTGCTGAAGTGGCTGAAATTTGTATAGGAAAGGAAAAAGAGGCATGGGGTAGGCCTACAGAAGCCAGAATAAGTATTTGGCACCAATTTCGTCAAAAGCTGCTCTATACCTGAGCAGGGTTAACATCTGCAAGACCTGCTGAAAGCAGATACTGTGGGAATAAGATATCAGTAGTAACAGGACAAGGAGATGTTTGGGTTACTGACTAGCCACAGGGAAGATATTTTACGGAATATTCCAGGCATTAAGAACAAGGACTATTTCTTTCAGTAAAGACTATGTCCTATCTTTAAGAACAAAAATGAAAGAGATTTTCATTAACAAATAATGAAACCAGGCATGGCAGATCAAAAGGATCTGGAAGCCACTTAACAGCTTTCAAAGGACTATCTTAGGGCCTTTTACAAGAAGACAACGTCTAGATTTTCTACAGTGTATTAGTCAAAAATACAAGTTACGCAAAGAAGCAGGAAAATTTAATAAATAATCAAGGGGGAAAAAGCAGTCAATAGAACATACATCATAATGACCCAGGCATTGAAATCAACAGATATATATTATGAATATGTCCTTAGACTATGGAGATATTGTCACAATGATAGAACAAAAAAGGTAATTTTGAGAAATGAACATTGTTGAAGTAACAAGTGCAAAATATACAATGAAAGAGTCACTGGCAGGGTATACTCTCAGATTTCAGCTCTCTGAAAAGCAGACAAATAACCTTGAAAACCATTTTTGAATTTATCTAATCTCAAACAAAAGAGGAAAATGATTAAAATAAGAGATTGAATGACATGGGATATCAAGCCATCAAACCTATACACAAATGAAGTCTCAAAAGGATGAGTCAGAAAATGGGAAAGAAAAAATATATTTGAAGAAATAATTGCCAGTGTTTTCAAATTTTGATGAAAAATTTCAATGCAGAGATCCAAGAACATCGAATCAACAAGAACACATGTATGAAGGGTATAAAGCCAATAGCATAATTAAAATGAAATATTGAAAAATATCCATTTACTCTAAGGAAGGTAACACTGAACCGGTGAAGAAAGAAATATCAACAACCAAGGGAAGAGAACAACACCCAAATAAGAAAATAGTAGGCAAATAGTAACATGGTAGATTTAACAACACTGACATCACTGATTAAATGTAAATGGATTGAACATTTATATTAGTTTCCTAGGGTTATATAACAAAGTACCATAAACTAGGTGCCTCAAGCAACAAAAATGTATTATCTCAAGTCCTGAAGGCTAGAAGTCTGAATTCAAGGTACTGGTTCCTTCTAAAGGCTGTGAAGAAGAATCTGTTCTAGACATCTCTCCGTGGCTTTTAGATGGCTTTCTTCATGTTCATATGTTGTGCTTTCTGGTGGCATTTTTGTGTCCAAATTTCCCCCTTTCATAAGGCCACCAGTCACATTGGATTACAGGCCACTCTAATGATCCCATTTTGACTTGATTACATCTATAAAGATCCTATCTTTCAATAAGGTTGCATCCTTAATTACTGGGGTAAGGACTTCAACGTATGTTTTTTTTGGCAGACAATTCAACCCATAACACACTTAAATTAAGAGCTAGCAATTTTGAGACTGGATTTAAAAAGGACAAAACTATATGCTCTGTATAATGAATGCATTTTTTTTTTGAGATGGAGTCATAAAATTGGTTGAAAATGAAAGGAAGTAAAACTGATGTAGCTGGCTAATACCAGAGAAAGTAGGATTCAAAATAAGCTGAAATATCAGAGATGGAATGATAAAAGGTTAAGCTCATTAGCAATGCATTATAATTCTCAATGTTTTTATACAACTGATAACAGAGTGTCAAAATGCATGAAGTAAAAACAGACAGAACTAAACAGAGAAATAGACTTTCACTCATAGTTGAAGATTTTAATCATCGGCTCAAAATAAACAATAGATGAACAAATAAAAATTAGTAAGGATTTGGAAGATTCTAATAATACTATCAACTAATGTAGTCTAATTTCAAGTTTTAGAACACTACACAAAAAATTTCATGAAAATATTTTTATCAAATTTACATGGAATGTTTACGAAGGACTGTGTAGTCTCGGTCATTAAATAAGTCTCAATAATTTGCAAAAGATTAAAAATTATCTTCAGAGGTGAAACAATGGTTTTTGTGTTGATTGAGATATTGATTAAATATGTACATTTGTGAAAACTTACTAAATTGAATGCTTAATTTCTGTGCATTTTGCTGTATCTCAATTCTAATAGAAAGACAGGCAAACATATAAATACCTATTACAGACATACCTACACACACACACGTGTGTGTGTATGTGCGTGTGTGTATGTGTGTGTATAAGTCATTTGCATATATACTGGCAGTGAATCCCAGTAAAGGTGAGGAATACATATTCTCACACTGGTAGAAATGATGACTTTTTACAGTCTGATTTTTTTTGTGTTTTAATCCAGAAATAATCCCAAAATTAGAGATACAAGGGAATGGTAATTGGTCCATAGAATAAGAACTGTCCAAGAAATTTATAGCACATGACTCCCTGTCCCACGCTCAATTGAGGTTTGTTTTATGTCTTTGCTCTGGGAAGAAAGCCCCCAGTTTAGCTTTCTAAATGATGAGTTCAGAATCTACTCACAAGCATTAGAGATTAGTAAAGTTCCTTGTATTCAGTAGAGTTCCTTGCAACAAGCATGAGCAGTAGAGATGCTGCCACTTTCAAAAGACTTACATATGGACCACTGAAAAGAAAGGCATTATGTGGTCAATTTTAGAGCATGTGCCATGTGGAGATGAGAAGAATGTATATTCTGTTGTTTTTGGATGGAGAGTTCTGTAGATGTCTATCAGACTCATTCGGTGGAATGTTGGGTTCAGATCCTGAATATCATTGTTAATTTTCTACCTTGATGATCTGTCTATGACTATCAGTGGTGTGTTAAAGTCTCCTACTATTATTGTGTGGGAGCCTCTTTGTACTCTAAGAACTTACTTTATGAATCTGGGGGTTCCTGTGTTGGGTGCATATATATTTAGGTTAGTAAGGTCTTCTTGTTGAGTAAAACCCTTCATCATTATGTAATGCCCTTCGTCTTTTTTTTTTTTTTTTTTTTTGAGACGGAGCCTCACTCTGTCGCCAGGCTATAGTGCAGTGGCATAATCTCAGCTCACTGCAATCTCCGCCTCCCGGGTTCAAGTGATTCTCCTGCCTCAGCCTCCCGAGTAGCTGGGACTACAGGCACACACCACCAAGCCCAGCTTATTTTTTTTTTTTTTTTTTTTGGATTTTAGTAGAGATGGGGTTTCACAATGTTGGCCAGGATGGTCTCGATCTCCTGACCTTGTAATCCGCCCACCTTGGCCTCCCAAAGTGCTGGGATTACAGGTGTGAGCCACCACTCCCGGCCCCTTCTTTGTCTTTTTTGAACTTTGTTTGTTTGACGTCTGTTTGGTCTGAAATTAGGATGCAACCCCTGCTTTTTTCTGTTTTCTACATGCTTGGTAGATTTTCCTCCATTCCTTTATTTTGAGCCGATGGGTGTCATCACATGTGAGATAGGTCTCAAAGACAGCATACCATTGAGTCTTGCTTTTTTATTCAGCTTGCCCCCCTTTACCTTTTAAGTGGGGCATTTAGCCCACTTACATTCAAGGTTAGTATTTGATATGTGTAGATTTGATGCCCTCTCTCATGACTCCTATTCAACATAGGAAATCCCAGCCAGAGTAATCAGGCAAGAGAAAGAAATAAAGGGCATCCAAATAGGAAGAGAGGAAGTAAAATTATCCCTATTTGAAGCTGACATGATTCTATATCTAGAAAACCCCATAGTCTCAGCCCCAAAGCTCCTTCTGCTAATAAAAAAAACTTCAGCAAAGTTTTAGAAAGAAAATCAATGTACAAAAATCACTAGCATTTCTATAAACCAACAGTAACCAAGCTGGCAGTCAAATCAGGAAGGCAATCCCATTCACAATTTTCACAAAAAGAATAAAAATATCTAGGGTAAAATACAACTAACCAGGGAGGTGAAAAATCTCTACAATGAGAATTACAAAACACTGCACAAAGAAATCAGAGAGGATACAAACAAAATGGAAAACATATCATGCTCATGGATAGGAAGAAGCAATATCATTAAAAGGCCATACTGCACAAAGCAATTTACAGATTAAATGCTATTTCTATCAAACTACCAATGACATTCTTCACAAAACTAGAAACAACTGTTTTAAAATTCATGTGGAACCAAAAAAGAGGCCAAATAGCCAAGGCAATCTTAAGAAAAAGAACAAAGCTGGAAGCATCAGGCTATCTGACCTCAAACTATACTACAGGGCTATGTTAACCAAAACAGCATGGTGCTGGCACAAAAACAGGGACATAAACCAATAGAACAGAATAGAGAACCCAGAAATAAAGCCACACAGCTATGATTATCTGATCATCAATAAAACTGACAAAAACGAGCAATGGGGAAAAGACTGTCTTTTCAATAAATGGTACTGGGATAACTAACTAGCCATATGCAAAAGATTGAAACTGGACCCCTTCCATACACAATATACAAAAATCAACTCAAGATGGATTAAACACTTAAATGCAAAACACAAAATTAGAAAAACCCTGGAAGACAACCTAGGCAATACCATCCTGGACTTAGAACAGGCAAGGATTTCATGACTAAGATGTCAAAAGCAATTGCAACAAAAGCAAAAATTCATAAATGGGAACTTCATTAGTCCATTTTCACACTGCTATAAAGAACCACCAGAGACTGAGTAATTTATAAAGAAAAAGGTTTAATTGACTTGAAGTTCAGCATGGCTGGGAAGGCCTCAGGAAACTTACAATTATAGGAGAAGGTGAAAGGGATGCAATGCACCTTTTTCACAAGGCGGCAGGAAGGAGAAGTACCAGGCAAAGCTGGGAAGAGCCCCTCATAAAACCATTAGATCTCGTGAGAACTCATTCACTATCACAAGAACAGCATGGGTGAAACCACCCCCAGATTCAATTACCTCCACCTGGTCTCTCCATGTGGTGATTATGGAGATTATAATTCAAGATGAGATTTGGGTGGGGATACAAAGCCTAAACATATCAGGATCTCATTAAACTTATTAAGAGCTTCTGCATAGCAAAAGAAACTATTGACAAAATAAACAGACAACCTACAGAATGGGAGAAACTATTTGCAAACTATGCGTCTGACAAATGTCTAAAATCCAGCACCTATAAGGAATTTAAACAAATTTACAAGAGAAAAACAACCCCACTAAAATGTGGGCAAAGTACATGAACAGACACTTTTCAAAAGAAGACATACATGTAGCCAACAAGCATGTGAAAAAAAAAAAAAACTCAATATCACTGATCATTAGAGAAATGCAAATTAAAACCACAATGAAATATAATTTCATACCAGTTAAAATGGCTACTATTAAAATGTCAAAAAATAACAGATGCTGGCAGGTTGTGGAGAAAAGGAAACACACACTGTTAGTGGGAGTGTAAGTTAGTTCAACTATTGTGGAAAGCAGCATGGCAATTCCTCAAAGAGATAAAAGCAGAACTACCATTCCAACCAGCAATCGCATTACTGCATATATACCCAGAAGAAAATATATCATTCTACCATAAAGACACATGCACACAAATGTTCATTGCAGCAATATGCACAATGGCAAAGACATAGAATCAACCTCAATGCTCATCAATAAGAGTTTAGATAAAGAAAATGTGGTATATAGACACCATGGAGCTATAAAAAAGAATGAGATCACGTTCTTTGCAGTAACATGGATGGAGCTGGAGGCTATTATACTGGACAAATTAACACAGGAACAAAAAACCAAATACTAGAAAATACTGCATGCTCTCACTTACAAGTGGGGAACTAAATTATGAGAACACATGGACACAAAGAAGGGAACAGCAGACACTGGAGTCTACTTGAGAGTGGAGGGTGACAGGAGACAGAGGAGCAGGAAAAATAATTGTTGAGTACTTGGTACCTAGGTGACAAAATGATCTGTACAACAAACCCTGATGACACGAGTTTACCTATATAACAAACTTTCACAGGTACTCCCAAACCTAAAATAAAAGTTAAAAAAAAAAGAAGAAAGCAAGCCCAAACCCATGCTGTACCACATGGCAGCATGGCATTGCAATTTTCAATTACTTGGGGGAAATAAAGATTCTCATGTGATTAGAGGAAATAATCTTTATTTAATAATAATGCTTAATAAGAACACTTGACAATAGATGGCTGAGAAAACCAAGAATCACCAAATATTTAAATAAAAATAAAAAATAAAGAATATCCTATCTATGAAATGATATAAACACTAAGAAAATAGAATTAACAGAAGAAACTAAAGAAAATGTCAATAGCCTTGGTGTCCATACAGGAATAGGAATCACAAAAATAACCATAAAATATTTTTAAAAATACCTTTTACGAGCAATACTCCAGAATGTCAGAAATTAAAAATATCATTAGCAAAATAAAATGTAGTAAACAGAATAAATAATATAAAAGATAAAACTGATGTCTAAAGATTACCCCAGAATCTGAACTGCATGAGGGGGAATAAGAATTACATTACTGGATATGAGAACAACTATTTAATAGACACATCTACTTGGATGACAATGCTTTTTTTTAAATGTCAAATTTCCAGTTTATTAATTTTAATACATTTCTGATCAAAATTACTCATTTCTTTTTGTGCCCTTATTTTTTGCATTAATTTTCATTTTTTACATCTCCATGCTGAATTGAAAAAAACTTCTACTGACCTGTATTTCAGTATATTAATTATTCCTTCAATGGTATCTAATCTGGTGGTAAATTATCTATTATATTTAATTTAAGTAACCACATTTGTATTTTAAATGTTTTGCTTATTTCATCTACAATATAATACTAACACAGTTTTTTCTCTACAATTAGTTTAAGCTTTTAACTAAATTTTTAAAGAGTAAAATATTTATTATCTTTCTCTGATATTGTCCAATGTTTGAAGTCTTTGTGGTTCTAATTATGTTTCATGTTGTTTTTGTTGATTTTAACTTATTTTGCCTTGTTTCACTGTGTTCTTGAGAATATTGTAAGATTTAGCTTCAGGGTATTTTTATAAAGCATTCAGATTTGCTTCTCCCTAACACCTGGGCATACGAGTAGGACCACCTTAAAAAAATGTTCAATTTTTGAGATTACCTGAGTCACGCAGTCACACAAACCCAAGTAGTGGATCCAAGCTACCACTGCTTTAGGTCTGTCTGGTTCACCTTATGCTGAGGGTATAAGATTTGGTCATCTCAATCTTTTAAGGGAGGGCTCCTTAAGAAGACTTAACATATGCTAATCTTCGGTTTTGGTTTCTTTCTCATTCACCCTGAAACTGTCAAAATAAATATTAATATTTGTAGAGATCGGCAAATTGCAACTGGTAAGGTTATATCCTTACCTCTCTGGGTTCTTCTTTTCTCTTCAAATTTGGTTTGATCACTTATTAAAATTTTATAAGCTCTCAATGCTTTTTAAAAGGTGTTTTAAATGTGCAATCACTAGCATTTTTTAAAGTTTTTTCATTGGGAATTATAGTCTGAATAATATCCCACCATAACTAGAAAATGAAATACCTACCTATTACAAATGCAATACATTTTATATATTGAGTAATTTGCCTTTTTCTAATTAATTTTATTTTAAAACTCATATTAAAATCTATATTTTATAAGAAAAAAAAAAGCTTGACATTTGATTAAGACCAACTTAGCTTCACAAATCTCTACCCGAATGACCACAGGCAAGTGATCTGACATTTGCAAGTGCCTATTTTTTTTTTTTCATTTATAAAATGGAAATACATAACTGAGCTTAATGTGGATCAAAGAAATTAATATGTAAAAAAAATCAAACACAGAACCTGAAAATGATAGGAAGTCAATTATTCAGCCTACCTATCCACTACTAAAATAATTCTTGGTTATGAACTTCACAAGGGAACACACTGTATTACTACTCTACTCAATAACATGAATTTCATTGTGTATCTTCTGGGGCAAGTGCTTCTTCCAAACAAATTAAACCATTCCACTCACACAATGTTCATCTATCTCATAAGTTTTTGCTATTCTCCTGTTGATTTTACATTTAATGAGGGATAAATTCTATTTTCACAATCATAATCAAATAGTACCTAGAGAATAAAAGCTACTAAGACAAGACAACCCTCAATTCAATTAATAACTAATCCCTCTCTTTTTCAGAGGTACATCAGTTGTTCCTCCAGGATTAAAACCCCTCCTGTTTTACAATAAAAAAGCAGACAGATGACAGGATCTCATTAAACATCTATTGTGCACCCACACAAAAAAAATTAAGTAGGCAGATGCTCTGATTATTTAAAGCAACACACAGAGTTTTAGGATGAAGTTTTATTTCTGAATTTTAACTTATGCACAACTTGTAAAATGTTACTTCATTTATAAATAAAGCAGCACTAACTTGGTAACTTGGAATCACTGTATTTTTCTTCATAAAGAATAAAGTCAGGATAACAGTTAGCTCTCTTTGTTTCTGAATAATGATTCAACATTAATTTAGATATTAGAAGCTCTCACATGCAAGTGTGTGTGCATGCACTCACACACACTACTCTGAAGAGGTAGAATATGAGGAAATAAGATACACATACACAGAGAAGGAATATGTAACATTTAATTTTAACCTCAATGACAGGAGGAGGAGCACCAATAATCTAAAAAAAAAAAGAAATCCCAAAAGTTTTGGATTAGCTGCCTCTCTAGCTAAGTATATATTTTATTGCTAATCAATATGGCATGACCAAAATTATAGCAATGAAAATAGTCATAATTATCATCAAGTAATGAAAATAATATTTATGTGCTCAACAGTATTACTTATATATTCTGATTAAATCATGTGCTATTGAAAGCAGGATGAAGTAGAGCTTATTTTATATCTTAGAATTCTTTTCCATCAATGTCAGTTTAGGAAATGAAAGTTATTAGAATTTCAATGTAATTAATTCATTTGCAATTGGTGTCTATTTGGTTATGTATTTTTTCATAGATATAGTCTGAGAGACATTATCTGGTAACTTTTATCATGTCTCTGAGAAACCAATTTTCTGTAAGGCCTAATTTTTTTTCTTAAATAAATATGTATCTGCTCATGCATATACCAACTTCATGGATTCCAAACAATAAAAAAGTTAATTGTAAGGATTGGACAGAATCTACATTTTAAATGCTATTTAAAACATTATCACACTGTAGTGGAGGAATCATAAACTGCAGAAGTTTTTCAACCATGCCACCACAAACTACATCTCTACAAAATGTTTTGTACTTTTACTTTAAAGAACTAAAATTGGAAACAAAGAGTGGAGAATTATTTCTTCCCTTTCTCTTCCCTTCATCCTCATTCTAGCACCAGTCATACCTGACCATGATTTTTAAAGAGTATAAATTACTCCTCTTCTCAGAGGTAGAAATACACAGAAAAATACACAAAAACCAAATTCTGTCAAAATATATTTAAAGAGGTTTATTCAGAGCCAGTATAAGTGACCAAGGCCTGGGTTACACTATCTCAAGAGGTTCTGAAAGCGTGCCCAAGGCAACCGGGTTACACTTTGGTTTTATACATTCCAAGGAGACAACCAACTGCAGGTAATTGCAGGTAGGTCAGGGTAGGAGCTTGTACGTCATAAGGGGCTTTTAGGGATCCTTTAGTTGACAATTGGTTGAGAGAGTTATGCTATCGTCTAAAGTCTTGAAATCGATAGAAAGGAATGCCTGAGTTCAGATAAGAGTGGGGGAAAGACCAAGGATCTTATTAAGTAGATGAAGCCTCATAGGTGGCCCTCAGAGAGAATAGATGGTAAATGTTTCTTTTCAGACCTTTAAAGGTATCAGACTCTCAATCACTCCTAGGTCCTGGAAAGGCATAGAAAGGGGAAGCATGGCTGCATTAATGAAGATTCTCCATAGATGCAAATTTCCTCTACCTCAGTTTGCTGGCCTTGCAACAGCCATTTCAAAAGACATCAAAGAAATATATTTTAGGGCAAAATATTTTTATATCCTTCAGGGTCTGCTGTCTGTTATGTGATGCTGTACCAGAGTCAGGTTGGAAAGCAAGCCACATTATATAGGGTTAATAAAAAACCCATGTAAAGAGATGTTATCATTCGTAGGGCTGACTCCCAGTTTCTTTAAATAGGAATTTGGGCAAGATGAAAAAAAAAAATCAGAATTTAGTCCTCAACTCAAATATTTTATTCATTCAAACGCTTATTCAAACTACCGAATCCTCCAATAACAGAAAGTATAGTGTCCATCCTGAAGACTTTCATCCCATCTCACAGCATGTTTTCTCCTAGTACACCCTGATTGTCCAAGGACTTCTGAGAACACCATTCCAGAAGAGGTCATGATCTCAACAACTGTCACAGAAAGAAAGAATACAGGAAGACAAGATGCGAAAGTTATGTCAGTGGCTTTCATTCATCACACCACTACGTACTGGTTCTCTAGTACTGTGCTGTTATGATCCTCCTGACTTTTACCCTGTGAATATCCTAGTGCTTTTATATCAGTCTCACATCCTCAACACGCTGGTTTCCATAAAAATGCAACCAAGTCAGATGGCTGTGATCTGGTGGGATTCTAGTTCCATTTGCAGCCTCCAAAGCAGTCTTTTACCTAAGAACACTCAGGCCTCCAAGGTTAAGATAACAGTATACTCCAATGCAAAATTCTCTACCTCCCTACTTCAGGTCCCAGGGACTCTCAACTGCCAGTCACTCTTTGAACAATAAGAACAGACACTTAAATGATGATAACTAATGGCAGCAGCACTAATGTAAGAACGCTGGAACTATTAGTACTCTCATCTTCCAGATGAGAGAACTCAATAACATGATTTACATAAACTGCCTGAAGATACAGTAGAATAATAATAATGAAATCCAGGCATTGTGGACCTGAATGCTGCTACCTAGCTACTCCTCTTTGTGGCTTCTCCATTGTCTTTTCCTGCCAGTTCAGTTCTAACAGGAATAAACAGACGCTATTCAAAAGCTTTTCAAGTCTGAATGAAGATGTACCTAGGGTTGGTGTTGATGAACTTTCCCTCACTCTTCCTTAAGGAAATTTGTTCTTTCCTGCCATTTGAGAGACATGTTCTTCCTCTTCTTCTTCAAAGAGCTAAAATGCACCTTTATTTGCATAATGAAGATAGTGCAGTGAAGTACTTTCTTGCGTTGTCAAGGAAATGAGCTCCAAAGGAACTTCCTTTTAGCATAGAGAAAGCTGCTGTTTTTATTTACTTGCATTTTGCATATGAATATATTTTAATTTAGTTTCAACAGGTAACTGAATTAGAAAGTGAAATTATAAAGTCATTTCTCCAAGAAAGAAGGTAGAGCTTATAAATATTAGTAATCTTAGCTGGGCACGATGACTTATGCCTGTAATCCCAGCACTTTGGGAGGCTGATGCGGGCCAATCACCTGAGGTCAGGAGTTTGTGACCAGCCTGGCCAATATGGTGAAACCCTGTCTCTACTAAAAGTACAAAAATTAGTCTCTACTAAAAATACAAAAATTAGCCATATGTGGTGGCACGTGCCTGTAATCCCAATTACTTGGGAGGGTGAGGCAGAAATTGCAGTGAGCTGAGACTGCACCACTGCACTCCAGCTTGGTGAACAGAGTGAGACTCCGCCTAAAAATAAATAAATAAATAAATAAATATTAATAATCTTTTAAAGAAATGATTGTGGCTATTTCTAGGTCTAATGATACTTGCTTAATCGTATTGAAAACAATGTTATTTCTTTGAATGGCAATGGAATGTAAAATATTTAAAAACGCAATTTGACTTTTTTTACTTTTTAAAATTTATGTAGCTGGGCCGGGCACCCTGGCTCATGCCTGTAATCCCAGCACTTTGGGAGGCTGAGACTGGAGGATCACAAGGTCAGGAGATCGAGACCATCCTAGCTAACACGGTGAAACCCCGTCTCTACTAAAAACACAAAAAAATTAGCTGGGCGTGGTGGTGGGCACCTGTAGTACCAGCTACTCGGGAGGCTGAGGCAGGAGAATGGCATGAACCTGGGAGGTGGAGCTTGCAGTGAGTTTGAGATTGCTCCACTGCACTCCAGCCTGGGTGACAGAGCGACACTCTGTCTCAAAATAATAATAATAATAATAATAATAAATAAAATAAAATTTATGTAGCTGATATATTACTATAACCTCACTTGCATTTTTAAATTATTTTACTGGTTCTCTCTTTTTACTTTTATCTTACCTATGCTGTATTTGAAGTTAGTTTTATATAGACAGAATTTTAAAAATTATTTATTTATGGGGTACAAATGCAATTTGGACAATATTGTTGGCCATGGTTTTTCGTTTTTGATTTTTGTTTTTTTAACTACTCTGCCAATCTATGTTTTTTAGTTGGTTTCTATAGGCCTTTTATGTTTAACAATTTGTATGTTGTGGTTGATGTCTACCACTTTGTTATTTGTTTCTGTTTGTTTCTGTTTCTTATTCCTCTGTGTCTTTTTCTTGCTTTCCAATGGGTTACATAAACATGTTAAGTTTCCATCTTAATTTATTTATAGTGTTTTAAATACAATGTTGCATCACTTAATGACAAAAATTACATTCTGAGAAATGCATTAGGCAATTTCTTCACTGTGTAACATCATATAGTGTATTCTATGTGTAAATAGAGATAGCATAACCTACTACTCACCCTAGGTTATGTGGTACAGCCTATTGATCCTAGGCTACAAACCTATACAGCATGTTACTGTGCTGAATACTGTAGGCATCTGCAACACAACGGTAAATATTTGTGTATCTAAACATAAAAAAAGGTACAGTAAAAAATCCAGTCAAAACATCAAAAATGGTATACCTGATTAGGGCACTTACTATAAATGAAGTTTGCAGGGCTAGGAGTTGCTCTGGGAGAGTTAGTGAGTAAGTGGTGAGTGAGCGTAAATGCCTAGGGCATCATTGTACAAAACTGTAGACTTTATAAACACTGAATTTATAAAATTTATAAAGAAACTTATTTCTTTCAAAATACATTAAACTTATCCTACAGTAACTTTTTTACTTTATAAACTTTTTAACTTATTTTTAACTTTTTGACTCTTTTGTAACAACACTTAGCTTAAAACACATATTGTACACAGAAATACTTTATTTCCTTATATCCTTATTCTCTAAGATTTTTTTGTAATTTTACATCTTTTAATTTTTAATTTTTTTGTTGTTGTTGTTAAAAACAAAGACACAAATGCACATACTAGCGTAGGCCTACACAGGGTCAGTATGATCAACATCACTGTTTTCTACCTCCAGATCTTGTCCCACTGGAAGCTCCTCTAGGCCAATAATGCATATGGATCTGTCGACATCTATGATAACAATGCCCTCTGAAATGCCTCGTGAAGGACCACTGTGAGGCTGTTTTACAGTTGCCTATTACTTTTTTTTTTTTTTTTTTTTGAGACAGAGTCTCGCTCTGTCGCCCAGGCTGGAGTGCAGTGGCGTGATCTCGGCTCACTGCAAGCTCCGCCTCCTGGGTTCACGCCATTCTCCTGCCTCAGCCTCCCGAATAGCTGGGAATATAGGCGCCCCCCACCAGGCCTGGCTAATTTTTTGTATTTTTAGTAGAGATGGGGTTTCACCATGTTAGCCAGGATGGTCTCCATCTCCTGACCTCGTGATCTGCCCACCTCGGGCCTATTTCTTTTAATAAGTAGAAGGTGTACACTACAATAACAATAAAAAATATGGTGTAGTAAATACACAAAAATGTAATATATTTGTTTATTATTATTACTAAGTAAAATGTACTTGTATTAGTCCATTCTCACACTACTATAAAGACACTACCCGAGATTGGGTAATTCATAAAGGAAAGAGGTTTAATTGAGTCACAGTTCTGCATGGCTGAGGAGGCCTCATGGAACTTACAATCATGGTGAAATGGGAAGCAGTCATCTTCTTCACAAGACAACAGGAGAGAGAAGGATTGTGTGTAGGAGGAGCTGTGAAACACTTAACAAAACCATCAGATCTCCTGAGAACTCACTCACTATCGTAAGAACAGTATGGCAGAAACCGCCCACATGATCCAATCACCTTCCACCAGATCCTGCCCTCAACACATGGGTATTATGAAGATTACAATTCAAGATGAGATTTGGGTGGGGATATAGAGCCAAAATATATCATTCCACCCCTGGCCCCTCCCAGATCTCACATATTTTTTACATTTCCAACCCAACATCATGCCTTCCTAACAGTCCCCCAGAGTCTTAAATCATTTCAGCAGTAACTCAACAGCCCACAGTTCAAAGTCTCATCTGAGACAAGGCAAGACGTTTTGGCCTATAAGCCTGTAAAATCAAAAGCAAGTTAGTTACTTCCTAGATACCATGAGGGTACAAGAATTGGATAAATGCTCCCATTCCAAATGGGAGAAATTAGTCAAAACAAAGGGGATGCAGGCCCCATGAAAGTCTGAAACCCAGCAGGGCAGTCATTAAAACTTAAAGCTTTAAAATAATCTCCTTGTCTCCATGTTTCACATCCAGGGCATGTTAATGCAAGGGGTGGGCTCCCATGGCCTTGGGCAGTTCCTTCACAGGCTGGCATTGAGTGTCTGTGGCTTTTCCAGGTGCACAGTACAAGCTGTTGGTGGATCTTCCATTCAGGGGTCTGGAGAACAGTGGCCCTCTTCTCATAGCTTCACTAGGCAGTGCCCCAGTGGGGAATCTGTGTGGGAGCTCCAACCCCACATTTTCCTTCTGCACTACCCTAGCAGAGGTTCTCCATGATGGCTCCACCCCTGCAACCAATCTCGGCCTGGACATCCTGGCATTTCCATACAACCTATGAAATCTAGGCAGAGGTTTCCACACCTGAATTCTTGACTTCTGTGTACCCTCAGGCCCAACACCATATGGAATCCTCCAAGGCTTGGGGCTTGCACCCTCTGAATCAACAGATGAGCTGTACATTGGCTCCTTTTAGCCACGGCTGGAGCTGGAGTAGCAGCAGCTGGGACACAGGGCACCAAGTCCTGAGGTTGCCCAGAGTAACGGGGCCCTAGGCCCAGCCCATGAAACCATTTTTCCCTCAGAGGCTGCTGGGTCTGTGATGAGAAGGGCTGCCATGGAAGTCTCTGATACGCCCAAGAAAAATTTTGCCATTGTTTTGGCTACTGTAATAACATTTGGCTTCTTGTTATTTAGGCAAATTTCTGTAGCCAGCTTGAATTCCTCCCCTGAAAAATGGGTTTTTCTTTTCTACTGCATGGTCCGGCTGCAAATTTTCCAAACTTTTATGCCCTGCTTCCATTTTAAACATAAGTTCCAATTTGAGATAATGTTTCTCAAATTAAAAGTTCCACAGATCTCTAGGACAGGGGCAAAATGCTTCCAGTCTCTTTGCTAAGGCAGAGTAACAGTGATCTTTGGGCTCTAGTTCCTAATGAGTTCTTGTCCATCCAAGACCACCTCAGCTTGGACTTCACTGTCTATATCACTATCAGCATTTTGGTCAAAACCATTCCACAGGTCCCTAGGAAGTTTCAAACTTTCTCACAACTTCCTGTCTTCTTCTGAGCCCTCCAAACACTTCCAACCTCTGCCCGATACCCAGTTCTAAAGTCACTTCCTCATTTTCAGTATCTTTATAGCAGTGCCCCACTCCCAGTACCAATTTACTCTATTAGTCTGTTCTCACACTGCTATAAAGATACTACCCAAGACAGGGTAATTTATAAAGGAAAGAGGGTTAATTGACTCATAGTTCTGCATGGCTGGAGAGGCCTCAGAAAACTTACAATCATGGTGGAATAAAAGCAGTTGGCTTCTTCAAAAGGCAACAGGAGAGAATGAGTGTGTCTAGGAGAAATTTTCAAACACTTTTAAAACCATCGGATCTCATGAAAACTTACTCACTATCATGAGAACAGCATGAGGGAAACTGCCTCCAGGATCCAATCACTTCCCACCGGGTCTTGCCCTTGACACGGGAGGATCATGAGGATTACAATTCAAGATGAGATTTGGGTGGGGACACAGCCAAACAATATCAGTACTAGACAGAATTTTATGTGCTACACTTTTATATAACTGGCAATGAAGTAGGTTTGTTTACACCATCATTGCCACAAACAGGTGAGAAATATGTTAGACTATGATGTTAAGACAGCTCAGCTGCAATGTCACTAGGTAATATTCATCTCCATTATAATCTTATGGGACCACCATGATATATGCAGTCTACTGCTGAGCAAAACATCGTTATGCAGTGCATGATTGTACATGATTTTGTTTGGTTTTATTAATTGCACTGGTTAAAATAATATATGTGTAATGTCAAGATCTACTGTTAATGATGTTTTACCTCTTTGAGTGAAGTGTAGAAAACTTGTTTCCATATGAGTCTCTTTACTATCACTACTTTTTAGATATAATTATCTTAAATACTTCCTCTATGTTCCTTGAGCATCTAACCAGATAGGTCATTAATTTTTGCTTCAACTATTAGAAATGGCTTAAAAACTTAAGAGAAGTTTGATTATACATTATATTTATGCTTAATTTTACCCATTTAGATGGATGTTTGTAAAAGCTGCAAACCTTCTTCTTTTATCATTTCTTTTCTGTTTAGAGAACTTATTCTTTAAAGGTAAGTTTGTTAGCAACACATTACCTTAGCATTCTTTCATTAGACAATGTTTTCTATGTCACTTTAGTGCCTGAAGAATATTATTGCTGGGTATTGAATTTACAGTTCACAGTTCTGTTCTTTCAGTACTTCAAAAATATTATCTGTTTCCTTCCAACCTTCATGGTTTCAGATGGAAAATCTGCTGTGGTTTACATTATTGTTTTTCTGTAAGAAATGTGCCATTTTTCTCTGTTTGCTTTCAAGATTTTTAATTTTTTTTTTTCATTTCCAGAAATTGAATGTATTTGGGTGTATTCTATTTAGGGTTTGCTCTGTTTCTTGAATATTTAGGTTTATGTCTTCCATCTAATTTGGGAAGGTTGAAGTCATTATTTTTTAATAGTTTTTTAGTCCCACATTCTATCTCCTCGTCTTCTATATCTCCTGTGATTATGAATGTTAGCTCTTTTATTATTGTTCTAAAGTTTCCTGAAATGCTGTTAAATTTTTTTTTATCGGTTTTCTTCTTCTTGTTCAGACAGTAAATTCTGTTGGCATGTTTTCAGATTCACTGATTCCATCTTCTGCTCTGTGCTCTCTTCTTTTGTGACCATCCTCTGCATCTATTATTTCCATTATTGTATTTTAATTTTATTTAGTTCATGTTTATTTTTTATAACTTATAAGTCATTATTGAATTTATTTTTAATTTTAACTTTTATTTGTTCCAAGAGAATACAATATATAATTGCTTATTTAAACACTTTTATGATGGTTTCTTCAAAATCCTTGTTAGATAATTCCAACCTCTTTTTTTTTTTTTTTTTTTGTCTGAAACAGTCTCACTCTGTTACCCAGGCTGGAGTGCAGCGGTATGATCTTGGCTCACTGCAACCTCCATCTCCCAGGTTCAAGTGATTCTCCTGCCTCAGCCTCCCAAGTAGCTGGGATTACAGGCATGTGCCAATGCACCCAGCTAACTTTTTATATTTTTAGTAGAGGCGGGGTTTCACCATGTTGGACAGGCTGGTCTTGAACTCCTGACCTCAAGTGATCCACCCATCTTGGCCTCCCACAGTGCTGGGATTACAGGTGTGAGCCACTGCGCCCAGCCCCAACCCCTTTTTTATGTCTGTGTTGGTGTCTGTTGTCTTTCTCTCATTCAGGTTATGATTTCCTAGTTCTTTTGTCTTATAAGTGATTTTTATTGTGTCCTGAATTTTTTTTTATATTATGAGAATTTTTCTCTCTTATTATTTCGTAGATGGTTCCCTATTGATGTGTAACCTGAGAGCTGGGTGGGTGTGCGTGTTTATCTTCCTGATGGGACCTACTAATACCATCCTACCAAAAGTAGAGTACTAACTTATACTTCCTTCTTGCAGACTGGTTAGGTGGAAGTTTGTCTTCTCCCTCCACCCACTGGCAACCTCATGGCAAAAGTAGGGTACTGAGTTACATATCTTTGTTTCCTCCAAGTGAAAAAATAACCTCACTTCCCTGATGTGGTCCACTGACACCAGGGAGGGGGTGAGTAGGGGCCAACTCATACCACTTGGTTGCTTCCAAGGAGTAGGAGTGGGGAGAAGCTGTGTAAGAACAGAACTGATCATTAAAGACCCTATTATAAATTCTTGCTTTTATAGTACTTATTCTCGTGGCTTAAATATTCCACACCAATTAATCACCACGGAATATATGAGACATTATATTAATTATTAAATTTTACATGGCAACACTAACAATATTAACTCCCATTTTCTATCTCTTTAATTGAGGTCATTCTTTAGAAGTTTAAGTATAATCCATTCTTCTGTCCTACACGACTGAGTGAAATAGCATGTAGCAGCAACATATAGTACCAGTATGTAATCCTAATGCAATGGCACACCCCAGATGACCCTTTTGTGTATTGGGATTGACCATGGTTTTTCAGTTTAATCAAAGTTTAATTGATTAAACTCGGGGTTCACATTTTCTTTCTACACACCAATATTGAAGAGAAGTACTACAAAATACATAGGAGCACTAAACTGGTAGTAATAAGAAAAACATAAAATATTTAAGATAATGTGTTGCTTTTATTTCTAATATTAGCTACTGATACAATCAAAGCACTGCGGCTCAGTTTTCTCTTTTGTAAGAGGACAAGTTTGTATTAGTTAATCTTTAAATGTCTCTACAATCTGATTCTGAGATTGTGAATAAATAGATCTAAATACTGTTACAGGTATATAAATACAGATATAAATGCAGGTATGGGTAAAATTATGGCTATGGGTCCCAGCCTTAAATTCTTATTTTTTTATAACTAATTGATGTTCAGGGATAGATTTATGTGATCTGCTCATTTGCAGGGGCCCATCACTTGGCTAATTCTTTGGTGTCATTCGTATCAAGTTTTAAATAATTTTTGAGTAAGATGTCCTATATGTTAATTTTGCACTGAACACTGCAAATTTTGTAGCTGTTCCTGTTAATTTGTTAATGAAATTTCTCTTTAGAAACTATTAAATTAATAAGACAATAATTAAGCAAATAATTATTAAATTTTACATGGTAACACTAGCAATATTAACTCCCATTTTCTATCACTTTAATTCAGGCCATCCTTTAGAGGTTTAAGTATAATCCATTCTTATGTCCTACACAACTGAGTGTGTAGTACCAGTATGTAATCCTAATGTAATGGCACACCCCAGATGACCTTTTTGTGTGTTGGCATGGTTTTTCAGTTTAAGCAAAAGTTTAATTGATTGAAACTTGAAGTTCACATTTTTTTTTCTACACACCAATATTGAAGAGAAGTCCTACAAAATACTTATTCTATGGAAAAAAACAAAGTCCACTTTAGATCTAAAATGGTTGCATAAAATTTTGAGAATAACTTAAATGTTATATGAATGTAAGTAAAAATTTTACTGTAAACTTTGTAATTGCTAACTATAAACAGAAAACAAGTATATCTTATATAAAGAAATGTGTAGACTCTCTGTATTAATCCATTTTCACATTGCTATAAAGAATACCTGCGACAGGGTAATTTACAAAGGAAAGAGGCTTAATTGACTCACAGTTCTGCACGGCTGGGGAGGCCTCAGGGAACTTACAATCATGGTGGAAGGGGAAGCAGGCACGTCTTACATGGCAGCAGGGGAGAGAGAGCATGTGAAGGAGGCACTGTCAAACACTTGTAAAACCATCAGATCTCATGAGAACTCATTCACTATCATGAGAACATCTAGGGGAAACTGTGCCCATGATCCAATCACCTCCCACCAGGCCCCTCAACACATGGGCATTATGGGAATTACGATTCAAGATGAGATTTGGGTGACAGCACAGAGCCAAACCATATCACTCTCTGTGCCTTGTATTTCTCATACTAGTCAATGCCAACTCATTAAAAGTTATCTGGAGATATAACATTTTTGGGGGATTATATATTGCCACTACTGTTATATTTTTGTCAGGATAATGTAGCAATTCCCAAATAAATCATACTTAAACCTCCACAGAAAAGATAAATAGAAATGAGAATTCCATTGCCAGCATTGCTTTGAAAAACGTTTCAGAACTTTGAATATATATACTCATAAACACACACACATACACAGATATATATTTCTGCATGTGTATATACATATATGGATACATATGTTCTTAAACTTTCTTTTAACAGAAAAATTAAAATAGAAGGAAAATAATAGAGCACTAGTTATATAACTAGTATTATATAAATAATGTTATGTAACTAGTTATATAATTAAAAATATAAGAACCTAGGTGAGAATGAGAAAATCTAGATTTAGATTTACTACTTTTCCTAATACACACCCACACACATATATGTGTGTGTGTGTGTGTGTGTGTGTGTGTGTATACTGTATTTGTCTCATAGTGGCTGGAGCACATTACTACCAACTTAGTGGATTAAAACACCACAAATCTACTATCTTACAGTTCTGCAAGTAAAGACTAAAATAGAGTCACATAGGTGAAAATCAAGAGCTTCTACTCTCTTGAGGCTGCTTGGATTCTTGGCTATAACCCCTTTCTCCATCTTGAAATTCTGTCACTCCAACCTCTGCTTTCATAACACATCTCCCATCTCCTTCCTAACTCGAAGGCATCTTCTCAGTCTTACAAGAACTCCACTTGGGTTCACATTTGGAACACCCAAATAACCCATCTTAATATTCTCATCTCTAGATCCTTAAATAATTGCTTCTACAATGTCCTTTTTGTCATGGAAGGTGACATTTTCACAGGTTCCAGAAATTAGGACGTCGACATTTTAGTAAGCCATTATTCTGTCTACCACAGTGGCCTTGAATAGAAATCCTTCAGTTTTCATATACAGAAACAAAACATTCTTCCAAATGAGGAAGCTAGATTGGGAAAAAAAAAAGTCAGCCACACAGGTCTCCCCATTAAAACTTAAAGATGGTTACATATTTTATTCTGAGTTAAAATGGAGAGTCTTCCTATATAACTCTCTTTCCACTGTATGATTTATCACTTAATAGCTCTCCCTTTCCGTTGTATGATTTGTCACTTAATATCTCTCTCTTACTTGAAGTCAGAGAACAGCAAACAGTTTGCAAAATATATAAATAGTCTATAAGTTGTGGTCCAAATAGTTCTTAGAATTCAGCTACATCTAAGTACACAATTACTTATTTAAGCTTGATTCAGTGAAACAGATTTTCAGTTGAGTTTCTTAATGGGAATGACCAGTCACATTTTTCAAATTTGGCTTTATGCATAAATTGACAAATTATTTATAATTTGAAACATCTGGGCTCATTTTTTAAAAACAACTCATAAAATAAGAAATCATTTTATTGGTTCAAGCACGCATGCTATTAAATGACTCATCTTAATTTTTATCTTTTCATAAATGTTGGAAAATCTCAAGAAACCGTTATGTTGTCCTAAAAATGGGCAAGCAAGGTTAATTTGTTTTTGATGTTTAGATAGTTAGGTTATTTCTCATTTTTCTTTTAGGGATTACGTTGCTATCCTAAAGCTTGACATTGGTTAGAGTCAGCCAATGTCAAATTTTTACCTATAGATAGTCTTAGAAAGATATTGCAAATTAGTGCTGCTTCTAGTAGCTAAAATAACCTGCAGCTAGCTGGCAGGCAGCAGTGAATATTTTAAAAGGTGTACCAAATTACATTTAGATTTTCAGTTCCTTTTGAAGTGAAAAGAATATTCAAAGCTTGGAAGTCTTTGACTCTCATAAGCCTAGTAGATTTCAAGTATAAACATAGATTTAAAGATAGTTTACAGACAAATTGTGGATTTTATGTTATAATCTCAGATTAATGATTTTTTCCTTTTTGTGATTTTTTTCCCAAAGTAATTGTAAAGGACTGTGTGTGTGTGTGTGAGAGAGAGAGAGAGAAACAGAGAGAAAGAAACAGAGATAGAGACATTGTCCAAATGTACACGTAAGATTTTCTGTGACAATTACACATGGATTATCTAGTAACAAGTTGAACTACATGAAGCAATTGTATATCATCAGATATATACTATATGAAACAACTGTGTATAATCAGATTTATACTACATGAAGCAACTATATATAATCAGATTTACACCACTTTCTGAAGAAAACTACAATTAATTGGATACTAAAGTGGTTTCTGAAAGCCTAATTATTCTCAAGTCCATATGTGTGTTTGGTGGGATGGCAGTGAGTTTTTGGAACAAGCTTAACTGTTTTTTGAAATAGTTGTGAACTTCACAAGTTAGATGAAATACATGTCACAAGAAATTTTCCATGTGGAGACAATTTAGTAGTATTTCCACATTTATGTTCAATAAGTGTAAATTATAAAATGATATTTTTGCTCAAAAATAAATGAAAATAACACATTTGAAACAAAAGTAGACTCACCCACCCTCCAGAATGATATCCAAAGACCAAAGGAAGTTTGGCCTTTTTTAGGCATTTGAGACTTGCTTTCAGTAAATCATATCATCATATTTATTTCTATAACTTTTCTTTTTTTTTGAGATGGAGTCTCGCTTTGTCACCCAGGCTGGAGGGCAATGGCGTGATCTTGGCTCAGTGCAGCTTCCGCCTCCTGGGCTCAAGTGATTTTCCCACCTCAGCCTCCCCAGTAGCTGGGATTACAGACGTGAGCCACTATGCCTGTTTATTTATTTATTTATTTTTTAAGTAGAGATGGAGTTTCACCATGTTGGCCAGGCTGGTCTAAAACTCCTGACTTCAAGTGATCCACCCACCTTGGCCTCCCAAAGTGCTGGGATTACAGGCGTGAGCCACTGGGCCCGACCTCTGTAACTTTTTATGTTACTGTTTATCATGAGTACGCACAAAAAACCACTTTTTGAATATCTTTTTCTCAGATATTTAATTATTAAGAACAAGGCAAAAATGTGTATACATTAGGTAAAAACTGCGAAAGCATGTCCAAAGAAGAAATAAAGTTCTGTAAATACTCAGAATCAACAGTTGAATAGGTATTCAGGTTTTCAGAGTTAAAAGCACAAATGCATATTTTAGTCTCTTTTCATTTTATTTTAAATATGACTATCCATAGAATGACTATTGCACAGTTTCATATAACTCCCTTATTTGTGTATTTAGTAACTGAGATTCATTATTTTTTAATTAGTACCTAAATAATTACTAGTAATCTGAAACTAATTTTCTTTTATGAGGGCAAAATGCTTTTTCTTTTAATAGGAAAAACCAAAAAGGAAGTTAGTTTAAGTATTTTTTAAATAAAAGAAATTGACAAAATAAAAAGCATGTTAAATTTAATTGTAACCCTGATGTATGTAAAACCTTTATTAAAAATATTTTTCCAAAGTTCTTATTAAGCTTTAATTAGCTATTTGTATATATTACCTTACTGGCATTTTAAAAGTATAATTATTACATATTGTGTGGAAAGATTTAAACATTCAGAAAATATAAAACTCAGTGCAACTATTTTTTCCTACTCTTCATGTATTATAATTCAGTCTTTTTGATAATTTTATATATATAGAAGGTATGATATTTATATTACATTTAAAATTTAGTACAACTTTTATTAAAGTGTACATATTATTTATACAATGCTTTTTTCTTTTCTATATCTATACAGCTTACCCATTTTTGAGAAGGCTGCATTTTTTTCTATAACATGTATATGTTGTACTTTACTTGTCTATATCCCCATTAAGAGATATGTTGCTTCCAGGTTTCATTATTATAAATACTGTTTCAGTGAACAGCTTTCAATATACATCTTTGTGCCCATGTGACAATAAAAGTATTTTTGTATGCATCTGCAAGTATAATAGTTATAGTGTCCATGCATTTTCAATTGGGTAGTTGTTTCAAAATAGCCCTACATTTTTCAAATAATTCTAATTCAAAGGACTGCTCCCCTTTCAAACCTGGTAAATATTGAAGTCCTTAATGCTTTTGCCAGAATTAGGCTGAATTGACAGAGCACTGATATGTAGAAGATATATATATATATATATATATACATGTATATTATATATATAATATATTATAAATATAATATATATATATAAAATTCTTAAAATTTAGCAAGTAACTGAACAACAAAAATGACAGATAAAAGAAGCAGGTCATGCATAGCCTATCTGCCTGAGATTTATTTAACCCTTCTTCAGAAGAGGCTTTGATTCTTGTCTCTCTGTGTCTACCTATAGACAGCATTTCTCCCAGGAAGCTTGCCCTGACCTCCTAGAATTGGTTATGTACCATTTATATATTTTTCATATTCCAATGTACATAACTCATAACAGAAATTATCACAAGGGAACAGCTGTGGTTTTATTGTTATGTCTAGCTATCCAGCTATCATCTTCACCAGACTGTAAGCTCCTTGAAGGCAGAAGCCAGATTTATCTTCATGACCTCTGTGTTTTAGATGAGGTCTCAGAGATAGAGGTCAGAATTTTCCCTCTAGGTAAATTAATTAGATTAACCTCAACTTATACAAAACAGTAGTCATTAAATTTATCCCCAGCCATCAGGAGCTTAACTACTCTGGAGAGAGAGCCAGGTGTTGGAGTAGGCAATTAAGACATCAAGACAAAAGGACATTAACAAACCTTTGAGGTTAAACTGGAAAAAGCCCTGACGGTCCAGTCCCCATCCTTTTTTTCCTTCATGAAACAGCTCTATCAAGGATCACATGGGTCAGCACAGATGTGGAGTTGTCTCACTATCAAAGGAACCCTGAACAACAGGCTCCTGCCTGCAGTTTTATGGAAGGTCAGGAAAAGGCTGGGAGCGGAAAAGCACTGAGTATTGAATCAGAAGGAAGACAATTGTCTTCAAGACTCCTCCTCCTCTCCCCATGAAAAGGAGGTCTTGGGCAAACATGCCTGGGGAAGGTCTGCCAAGGTCCCACAGTGGAGAGGCCTCCAGGGGAGGCACCAGTCAAGTGATGCTGATCTGTGTGTGAGCATGGCCCTGCAGCCCTTACTGAAACTGCCATTAGAGGACTATGCACTAGTGTGGGGAGGGCAGCTCTCCCTGTGGGACCCACTTGGTCAAGTCTTTGTCATTGTTTATGGATGGGCCCAAAAATCACATATAGGATTGAGTCTGGGGCTGAACTCTTTACTGCTCTGTCTGTATTCCCTGTCTTGGTTGACACCTAATACATGACTAAGAAACTAAGAAATCATTTTAGACGTCGTTTTTGTGTCTGTGTTTTATGCTTTGTTGGCTTGAAAACTTCATCCAATAAAACTTTAGTTATTTTTATTACCATTTCTTCCTTTATGACCCCACAGCATCCTCCATGTGCCAGGGTCCAAATCATCTTTAACCCGGACTATTGTATCAGTACCCAAATATATTCTTTCATCAAAATATATTCTTTCTCTTCTCTGGCTGTAATCTCATTCATTTCCAGGCTACTTCTTTTCAAACTAAAAAGCAAATATAATCACACTATTCTCTTTCTTCAAACACTTTCCCAATTCCTAGAGTAAAATCCCCCTTTTATAACATATAAGGCCTCAGTGACCTACCCTCAGGACTTCTTTAATTATTCTCCCATATTGTCCTATTATGTACCTGTTCCATCATCCTTACAACCCTCAGAACTCCCTAATCTGTTTTAATGCCACATTGTTATGCTCTTAATTTCCTTTGATAAAATGATTCTTTCCATTCATAAACTAGTTGATTACCACAATTTCTTAAGTATTCTATTGAAGTTTATCTTATTAGTCCATTTCACACTGCTATAAAGATACTACCTGAGAATGGATAATTTATAAACAAAAGAGGCTTACTTGACTCACAATTCCACATGGCTGAACTTATAAGTGAACTTATAATTAAACTTATAATCATGGTGGAAGGTGAAGGGAAAGCAAGGCAAGTCTTACACTGTGGCAGGTAAGAGAGAGAGCATGCAGGGGAAACTGCCACTTATAAAACCATCAGATCTCCTGAGAACCCCCTCACTATCACAAGAACAGCATAGAAAACCACCCTTTTGAGCTAATCACCTCCCACCAGGTCCCTCCCCATGACACATGGGGATTACAATTCGAGTTGAGATTTGGGTGGGGACACAGAGCCAAATCATAACATGTATCTTCTTTGCCAAGATTTTCCTTACAACGCAAAGTAGATTGACATATTTTAATTTCTTCCATCCCACCCCACCATAATATTCTTACCTCTATGACAGTGCTCATCAAAATTTGTAGCTATTATTTGTTTAAATGACTTCATTATGCTTCTTAAGAGGCATAAACTTTCTGCTATATTCATCTTTGTATGCCTGTCACACATTACATTGGCTGAGACAAGGTAAATATTTAATACATATCTATTAAATAAGAAACTTAAAAAAATAAAAGAGTGAATGAATAACTGTATCTAGGAAGTATGAAAGTGACTTATCTTTTAGCATTTTTCATCAAGGAATTAAGAAATGTGTGGGGAAAAAGTTAAGAGGCCCCAGTTAAAATGGCTTTTATCCCAAATTCAGGCAATAACAAAAGTTGGCGAGGATATACAGAAAAAGGAACCCTTGCACACTGTCAGTGGGAATGTACATTAGTATGACCCTTAAGGAGAACAGTCTGGAGGTTTCTCAAAAAGCAAAAATTGAGCTATCATATGATCCAGCAATCCCACTCCTGGGTGTATAACCAAAAGAAAGGACATAGTATATCAGAGAGATATCTGCACTCCATGTTTATTTCAGCACTACTCACAATAGCCAAAATTTGGAATCAACCTAAGTATCCATCAAGAGATGAATGAATAAAGAAAATATAGTACATATACAAAATGGAATACCATTCAGCCATAAAAAACAATGAGTTCCTGTCATCTGCTACAATGTGGATAGAACTGGAGGTCATTATGTTAAGTGAAACAAGCCAGGCGCAGAAAGACAAACTTCGGATGCTCTCACTTATTTGTGGGAGCTAAGGCTTAAAACAATTGAACTCATGGAGATAAACAGTATAAAGGTTAACAGGCTGAGAAGGGTAGTGAGGGTTTGGGAGGAAAGCGGGGCAGACTAATAGGTACAAAAACATAGTTAGAAAGAATGAATAAGACCTAGCATTTGCTAGCACAACAGGGTGACTATAGTCAAAAATAATTTAATCGTACATTTAAAAATAACTAGAAGAGTATAATCAGATTGTTTGTAACACAAAGGATAACTGTGTGAAGTGATGGATATTCAATTTACCCTGATGTGATTATTATGCAAGTATCAAAACATCTCATGTACTCCATAAATTTTCAAAAGAAGTATGTATAGCATAACGCTTAAAATAATATACTGTAATAGTCTACAACTTGGCAAGAAATTAAGCTTTCGTTTATTTTTGTCACAACAGGTATACTACATGCAGATTAAAATATATATTTTATATATATATATATATATATATATATATACCATCTATTTTTTAAGGGCATTTTTCATAACCTTGAAATATAAACAATAAAAATTATGAAGCAATAATTTATTTTTTTAAAAAAATCCACTTGCCAAACAAACAAGATACTCCTTCCAGGATGTCAGTAATATCAAGATAAAATGCCAGAGAATTTTAGCTCAGTATAGGAAATCAAACAGCTAATTTTTAACTTTGATGGAGGAGAAAATTAGATAAATTCTGAAAATTCATCCATTTATTTTTCTCTCTCCATATATGTTAACAACAAGCAAACACATTAAATCCTTAAATTTGGTTACTAAGTTCACAAATGTCATGGACACAGTGAGGTAATATTTACAGACTGAATACTGATTTACTATCCTTTGAGTTTATTTCTACATTTCATAGAGTAGATGCTCTTTATAGATAAACTCTTTTGGAAAAAGTCCAGATAACTGGATAATTAACTATTAATATCACTTTTTGAAAATTAAATAGTAATATGTTTCTTCCAGGAAAAATTATTTAACAGGTTTTATTCAGACTACTAAGACATATGAAAACCTGACATTAACTCTTTGGTTTTCTAAAGATTCTCTTCAGGAAAATATGCCATCAGTCTTTCTAAATGTATTCAATTTTATCTCAGCAGTCTTGAGCCTCCATCTACATGATGTTAATATACCTCCAAACAGCCATTCACATTTCTTAAGGTGATGAAATATGTATTACCTATAATATTCTTAACTAAGTTATTGTAAGGCATATTTATCATGCCACATAATCCTGGGCGAAAATTGGATATAATAACAATTCCCAAAAATGCCTCTTGACAAAGAGTTGGAATTCAACTTTTTTCTTCTACTGCTAAGGATGTTTGCATCATGTCTTTGGAAAAATGTATCTCATAATTGCAAAGCCCTAATTCCTGATGCTCCATTAACAATATTACTCAAGATATTGTTGCTGATGTGGCTGCTTATATTATTCCCAAGTGAATTTGTAGATATTTAGCAATAGCTGAGGCCATCTACAACGTAAATTCCTATCTATGTTACTCCTCTTGAGAATCTACTCTTGGTACATTTAGCAAAGGAAGACACTTTTAGCAACACAGCAGTCCCCCCTTACCAGCGGTTTCACTTTCCCCAGTTTTAGCTATCAGGGGTCAATCATGTTTTGAAAAATATTAAATAAAAGTTATAGAAATAATAACTTTGAAATTGTGTACCATAACGTGATAAATTCTCAGGTTGTCCATCCTACTCCCTGTTTTCTTTATCACAAAAAGAAAAGTAGATAATAATAAGGTATTTCAAGAGAAAGAGAGACCACATTCACATAACTTTTACTACAGTATATTGTTATAATAATTCTATTATTAGTTATGTTCATATAATTATTAGTAAAAGGAATATAATTATATTCCTATATAATTATAGAAGTATACTACTCCTATACATAATATATTAGTATAACTAATATAATTCTATTATCATTAGTAGTGTTAGTTTAACTAATAAACTAATAGAATTATTAAACTAATATAATTAGCCTATTAGTTTAATACTACTCCCATAATGAGTATATTAGTTTAAACAAATACTACTACTATAATAATTAGTAGTAGTTTAACTAATAAACTACTATAATTATTAGTTAAATTTCACTATGCCTAATTTTTAAATTACAGTCTATTATAAGTATGTATGTGTAGGAAAAATAGTACATGTTTACTATCCACTGTTTCAGGCATCAACTGGGGGTCTTAATACATATCTTTTTACAGATAAGGGTGGAGCTACAGTTACCTTCCAAAAGGTAGTATTGCCACTGCCATTGTTGCCTGCTAATGTAAATTCCAAAGAAGTAGATGATTTTGGGAAGGGCAGAAAATAAAAATTTTCATCAATATTAATGATTTTGCCATTAATGCAGATTACCATTGCCATAGTCTGAGAAGTGACATGAAACTTGAGATTGCTAGAGCTCATAGGACAGTAGAACAGTGAAGACATTGAGGTTTAAAGTGTTAATGTTATGAAGATAGCTAAAAACAGGACTTGATCAGTATAATCCTCTACCTAACACAACTTGGAATGGGGCAGAGAGTAAAGAAATGGACCTCGGTAAGGACGTGCATGAGCACTAAGAGATAGTGCTTGATGCAAGAGCAATAATAACAACAATAACCACAACAAAGGTATATTATTGGGAGCATTAGAGAAGAACAACAGAAAACTAAAAATGTTGTGGATGTTACCTCCAAGCAAGAAAATGGGACTAGGGACACAGGCCCTTTTTGTTTTTTGCTTGCACATTCTGTAATTAGAAAATGTTATTTTATAGACACACATATCAAATAATAGGAGAAAAAAGATATTTCATGTAAGATTAGTTTATTCTCAATATTCTGAATTAGAATATTGGATTAAAACAATATTTAGAATGATAGAAGCTGGATTAAAACAACTTTAAAACAAGCATTTGTACTGCATTGACATCTCTATACAAGTTGCTGTCATACTAGTTGAGAAGAGCTTGGGGACCTGGACTTGGGAGATTTAATGGACCGATAAAATTACTCAGAGGGGTAACCTTATAAAGAATTCTGAAACCAAGAATTTGGAAGTCTAAGAAAAGAAGGGACAACAATGCAAGTTGTCCAACCAAAACCTCTCTTCCCTACTTTCTTGTTTCTGAATGCCATTTTTGTTTGAAAGAGCAATGTGTCCTGCCAAATAACTACAATGCCCAGTCTCCTTGCCCTTGTGGCTGGTGACATGTTATAGTCCTGTAGAAACATACGTGGGCTGAAGTTCTTGAAAAGGACACTTTGTTCTTCAACTTCTCCCTTCCTGCCCTGATATAAAAACATGATAACACACTACTTATTACTCTAAATATGCATAACTTTTATATGCACTAGGAAGTGTATATATCAATACTTAGAGATACAATTTCAGAAATGGTCAAATTAAAGAAAACAAGTTAAAAGTTTACAAGTTCTTATAATAATTATAGAGGCAAGATAAATTACAGATTCAATTTTTTAAACTAGTAATTTAATTAATCACATCATGGATAATGTTTAGAGCTAAAATTTATTCTGTATTTACATAATCAATATTGTAATTAAAAACCACTGAGTATTTTTTGTTGCAACTGAATGTTGTGTCCCCTCAAAATTCATGTGATGAAAACTTAACCTTCAGTATGATGGTAGCAGGACCTATAAGCTGCATATTTATAATGAACTTTGGGAAGTAATTAGCTTATTATGGTGGAGGCTTCATAAATTAGATTGGTGCCCTTAAAAATGACTCTTGAGAGCTCTTTCTGTCCACCATGTGAAGCTGCATTGAGAAGGCAGCAGTCTGAAACCCAAGAGAGCTCTCTCACCAGAACCCAATTATGCTGGCACTCTGCTGTTGGACTTCCAGCCTCCAGAACTGTGAGATGTGCATTCCGTTATTTAAAAGCCACTCAGGTTATGGAACTTTATTAAAGCAGCCTGAACGGCTGAAGATGGAAATTGATCATGAGAAGTGGGAGTGCTGTTATTATAAATACCTAAAACAAAGTGAAAATGGTTTTGGGCTCAGTGATTGGCAGAGATTGATGAGGTTTTATGCAAAATGCTAGATTACTGTGGAAGAAATTTAAAAGCCAATTCTCGTGAGGGCTCGGAAAGAAATATAGAAGAAAACGCTGTCTTCTCAGAAAATAATTAAATAATCATGAACAGAATATTGATAAAATATGGACAGTAAAGGTCATTCTGTTGGAGTCTCAAATGGAAATGAAAATGTTATTGGAAAATGGAGCAAAAGCAATCCATGTTGAAAAGTGGAAACAAACTTCTTTGAATTGTATTCATGCTCTTGTGTTTTGCGGAAGGTGGAACTTGTGTGCAGTGAAATTGGACATTTAACCCAGCAGATTTCTCAGCAACATGTAGAAGCAGCAGCTTGGTTCCTTCTGAATCCGTAGAGTCAAATGTAGAAAAAGAAAAAGGTTTGAAGATGGAATTGTTAAGGAAAAAGTAACCATAATTTAAGATCTGGGAAATTCTCAGCCTGTCCATATTGCAAAAAAAGTGAGAAAGTGTGTTCTGAAGAGAACATGAAGAGTGTTTCGGACCCTTACTGATTTGATTAATATGGGTGTGAACCACAGGCTTAATCAAACATCTCAACACAAACCATGACTAGAAATGGGATTATACCAGGAGAAACACTGCCAGTTGGGACTAAAGGAAACAGAGATAATGGGACGAAATAAAGGAAGACATTCGGAATGCTTAAGCCCTACAGGCCCGGACCCGAGAGCTATTCAGTTGTGGATGTGTGCTATTCTCTCCTTCAAAATTACGGAAGAAGGGGCGCAAAGGGGATTTGGAGACAATTACAGCTGCTGCTTTTACCAAAAATCCAGAGGGTATGGCAAGGTGGGCCAAGGTTACCTCCATTTTGATTTCAAAGGACAGAAATGATGCTCAGAGGAGCTGTGTGGGAGGGCCATCCAGTGAAGCCCTGGGTGAGTGACCTCAGCCCTGACAAAAGACTGTGCCATAAGTGGGTCCAGTGCATAGAGTCAGCAGCGAGCAGTGCCTCACTGAGCTGTCGGGGACTGTCTGGAAGGTGAGTCATCAAGCCAAAGAGGATGCTTCTTGAACCTTAGGGTTTGATGGAGTTTGCCCTGTTAGGTTTTAGATTTACTTGGGATCCAGCATTCATATATTTTATTTTTTTCGAATAGTGGTTCTTTTTGGAATGGGAATGTTTATCCTATGCCTGTCTCACCATTGTATTTTGAGAGTTCATGTTGTTTGATTCCACAGGTTCACAGATGAAGAGAAATTTTGTGAGAATGAACTGTACCGTGAAGCTCACCTGCATCTGATTTAGGTAATATTTAAATAAGACCTTGGACTTTAGACTGGACTTGAGGCTGGAATGAGTTAAGATTTGTGGATTTGTTGGAATGGAATGACTGCATTTTGCATGTGAAGACATGAATTTTGGGGAACCTGGGGCAGAATGTTACGGACTGAATTTTTAAAGTGTACCCTCAAAATCTGTATATTGAAATCGTAACTGTCAATGTAATGGTATTAGTAGTGGGACCTTCAGGAGGTAATTAGGTTGTCATAGTAGAGGCCTCATGAATAGGCTTAGTGTTCTTATAAAAGGGACCTAAGAGAGCTCTCACTTCTTTCCCCATGTGCTTATACAAAAACCCAACAGTCTGCAACCGCAAAAGGGCCCTCCCCAAAACCAGAACATCCTGGCACTCTGACTTTGGACTTCCAACCCCTAGAACAGTAAGAAATACTTTTTTTGTTATTTGTAAGCCACTCAATCTATGGTATTTTGTATAGCAGCCCAAACTAAGACACTCCTCTACACTACAGTGTACACCACATTCTTCTGCCTCTTGGTATGCTTCAGTCACATTGAACTATATTTTGTTTACTAAACATGGCAAATTTATTACTGCACTATGGTTTTGCCATATAATTTTTCCTGTCTTTTCAAACAGAAATTATTTCACAGCATACGCAGCTATAGGCAATTATCTAGCTTATGTATAAAATTACTTTCCTGATATTTGTCTCATTTTTTGTTTTTAAATGTTTTAAATAAACAAATAATAATTGTTTTGAGGGGTACAGTATTATGTCTTCGTATATATTTATATTGTGGAATGATTAAATCAAGCTGCTTAACACATCTCTTATGTCACATATTTATCTTTTTGTTGTGAGAACACTGAAAATAGACTTTTTAGCAATCGAAAAAAGGCAAACCCTTAAAAGTAGAGAGTAGAATGCTAGTTAATGCTGGAGGCAAGGGATAGGGAATGGGGAGATGTTGTTCACAGGGTACAGTTTCAGTTAGACACAAAGATTGAGTTTTAGAGATTGACTTTATAGCAGAGTGACTATATTTAAAAATGACTTCTTGTACATTTCAAATTTTCTATTTAAAATACACGTAGTATCTGTATTCCCAGTTCTTAAAACATGACCTATTAAATAACAGATTTGCAAGACTGAATGATTTTTTTTTACCTTGTCCTGATCTCGATTTTTTTTAAACTTTATCTCATTAATTGCTAATTCTCTCTTTATGAATGTTAAATACTTAAAATAGCACCAAACATAACAAAACAAAACAAAAACAAAATTTGTTTTTTATTTCAAATGGCATGTTCCATTGCGTTCTAAGACTGGACTGTCTTGGAGATAAAGGAGACTTCATTATTTTATGTAATATTCCTTTGAGAAATCCTGAGCTTTGTGCAAAAATGACATACTTCATTTTTTTTTTGCATAATTTTGTCACTCCATAGAGCCCAGATCGAGTTCCTAAGTTCTCACTAAGGCACATGGGTCTAATTCCATTACATTTTTGGCCTGTGTCAATTAATTTTCTTTTCTCAGATAATAAATTTACACTCCTATTCCACTTCTGAGCAGTTAGACATTTTCAGCATGGAACATTCTATTAAAATGAAATGGCAAATTGCCTTGTAGCACACACATTTTCAAAGAATGTTTTGTCTGATAATGTAGTTCTTATGAGTTTCTTTCCAAAGTAATCCATTTACACAAAATACATTATTAATTTTGTGCATTTACAAACTACACATAATTTCAAAGTGATGTCATTGTTCCACAAATACATCTAGGTTTCAAAGTGACTGATTAAATTCTGTTTAAAATTTTGCACAGAAGTGCAGTATATAATCACATTTTATATCCCTCTGTGCAGGATATAGTTTTCTAAATCATACTCCGTTGTCAGGAGCATGTTCATCTTCCATACAGAACACACTGACTGAAAATAAGATCAAGTCTACACATTTGGGATATAAATTTTTGAGATTACTGCTCTTGGTATAATATATCTCTCTTGTACTTGAGCCTCTAGATCTTGCTGTTTTTAACACTTTTGTGCTCGCAAGATTTACGCTTCTGTATACTTTGTTTATATTCAGCAGCTAAGTATATTTTGTCCTGTTATCATGACTCAACCTGTGATTTGTTTCAAAAGTACAAGTAAGATTTTAAACATAATTATAGTGTAATCTCTTTAAATTTTGCTGCATTATCACTCAGAATGAGAAAAATATAAATTAAAAGTGTGTGCACATGTATACACATTGTTCAATATACAAACTTAGGTATCATGTTAGATTCATCACGATTTGAAAATGAAATCTGATTATAATACTTGCAAGATGACTTACAAGTTAATATTTATATGTACACTTACAATTTTTATAATTTTTAAAACCATCCAATATGTTAGTTTTCTTTGATTTCTAATGATAACAGTAGAAATATCTGGCCCTGGTTATCACATCTGGTTGTTATGATCAATAGAAACGATATATGCAAAAGCAAATACATTTTAAAACTTTTTAATATTAATTTTTATTGTTACATATTCTGAATAATGCAGTTTTATAGTTATTATTATAACATGACACAAATGGTAGAGATTTTGATGCCTACATTTTTAATAAAAATGTTCAAAACCATATTTCACAAGATGTATCATGCTGTAAGGTTGCAACAGCCCTCTCAAATAGAGTTCTGCCTTTCTCTTGCCATTTAAACTAATGCTATCTGAGAGTGCAACAGAAGGCCCTCATTACATGCTGGTATCTTGATCATTGACTTCCTTGCCTACAGAACTATCAGAAAATAATTTTCTATTTTTTATAAATTACCCAGTCTCAGGTATTTTGTTACAGCAGCACAAAACAGACTAAGACATAAAGTGTAAAATTATCCTTCCATATTGCTGCAAGTGAAATGATTTTATTTTTTATAGCTGTGTAGTATTCATTGTGCGTGTATGTGTGTGTATATATGTATATATGTATATCACATCATTTTCTTTATCCAGTTATTTGTTGATGGACACATGTTGATTCAATATCTTTGGTATTATGAATATTGCTGCTATAAATAAATGAGTGCAAATATCTTTTCTGGTATAATGATATTTTTTCTTTTGGGTATACACCCAGTATAGGATTGATAGAGTGAATTGTGGCTCTTTAATACTTGAAAAAATTTTCATACTGTTTTAATAGAGGTGGGACAAATTTACATTCCTTCTAATTATACTATAAGGCTATAGTAACAAAAACAATATGATAGTGATATAAAAATGGACACAATACTCAATAGAGCAAAATAGAAATTCCAGGAATAAAGTGACAAAGGCACTTTGTCACTTTATTAGTGGATATTTATAAAGGGACCTACCTACAGTCAATGGATGTTTGACAACATTGAAAAAAACATACACTGGGAAAAGGATATCCCCTTCAATAAATAGTGCAGGGAAAATTGGAAAGCCACATGCAGAGGAATAAAACTGGGCCCCTATCTGTTGCCATCCACAAAATTAACTCAGGATGAATTAAAGAATTAAATATAATACCTGAAGATATAAAAGTACTCATAGAATACCTGGAAAAACTCTTCTAGACATTGGCCTTGGCAAAAAATTTGTGACTAAGACCTCAAAAGCAAATTTAGCAAAAACAAAAGTAGACAAATGGGACTTAATTAAACAAAAAAGTTTCTGCACAGCAAAAGAAATAACTGAGAAAACAGATAACCTGAAGAATGTGAGAAAATATTTGCAAACTATGCATCCAACTAAGTACTAATATCCAGAATCGACAAGAAATTCAAACAACTCAACAACAACAACAAAATAGATAACCCCATTAAAAAATGGACAAAGTACATAAACAGGCATTTCTCAAAAGAAGACATACAAGTGGACAGCAAACATATGAAATAATGCTCAGTCTCATCATCAGAGAAATAAAAATTAAAACCACAACGAAATGTCACCTTATACTAGTCAGAATGGCTAGTTTTTAAAAGTCACAACACATCAGGTATTGATGAGAATGCAGAGAGAAGTGAGTGAATCCTTATATAGTATAGGTGACATTTTTATTTATAGAATATCAAAATAGTTACTTAAAATTCATTTGAATTATAAAATATTAAAATGTAGATTTATGAATACTTTGTACTTTCTAAAAGTTTAACCACAATAAAAATCCAAACTACCACTGTTGTGTCCATAATAATTCATAATTGTATGTGATGATGTTGAGAAATCTTCCTAAATATTAGGATGAGTCCCTCATTTATTTTAATGAAAATATCATTCTTAAAAGCATGTCAAGGAATATAGCTCAATAATTCAACAAATAACATTTGCAAATTGATAATCCATGGTTCAAAGATGTCAAGATGAACTCAAAGTCTACAGGGATACCCTTTTGATTCAAGGAAATAATGTTACCCTAAATGAGAGAAGATAGGGAAGACCATGTCAAATGAATCACTTTTTGATGTGGTTTGGCTGTGTCCCCACCCAGATCTCATTTTGAATTTTAGTTCTCATAATCCCCATGTGTCATGGGAGGCACCTGGTGGGAGGTAATTGAATCATGAGGGCGGTTACCCTCCGTGCTGTTCTTGTGATAGTGAGTGAGTCTCACAAGATCTGATGGTTTTATAAGGGGATTCCACATTTGCTCGGCTCTCATTCTTCTCCTTCCTGCTGCCATGTGAAGAAGGACTTGATTGCTTCCCCTTCCACCATGATTGTAAGTTTCCTGAATGTTCCCCAGCCGTACGGAACTGTTAGTCCATTAAAGTTCTTTTCCTTATAAATTACCCAGTCTCGGGTATTTCTTCATAGCAGCATGAGAACAGACTAATACACACTTCAATATTGATTTACATTTCTATGATCATCAGTGATCTTGAGTATTTTTTAATGTTTGTTGGCAACCTGCATGTCTTCTTTTGATAAATGTTTGTTTATGTCATTTGCCTACTTTGTAATGACATAATGTGTTTATTACTTATTGGGTTCCATGTAGATTCTGGATATTAGTACTTCGTTAGATGCATAATTTGTGAATATTTTCTCCTGTTCTGTAGGTTGCCTGTTTACTCTGTTGATTATTTCCTTTGCTGTGCAGAAGATTTTTAGTTTACTTAGGTCCCATTTGCCTATTATTATTTTTGTTTCATTTGCTTCTGATGACTTAGTCATAAATTCTTTGTCAAGGCTGATATTCAGTAAAGTTTTCCTAGGTTTTCTTCTAGGAATTGTATAGGTTTTTACATTTGAGTATTTAATCAATCTTGAGTTAATTTTTATATATGGTGAGATACAGGAATCCAGTTTTATTCTTGTGTATACGGATATCCATTTTTTCTAGTACAATTTATTGAAAAAGGTATCCTTTCCACATTGTTTATTTGTGCACGCTTTGTTGAAGATTAGTTGGTTGTAGGTATGTGGCTTTATTTCTTGGTTCTCTATTTAATTTTATTAAACTATGTATCTGTTTTTGTATTGGTACCATGCTGTTCTTGTTACTATAGGTTTGTAGTATAATTTGAAATGGGGTGAAGTGCTGACTCCAGCTTTGTTCTTTTTGCTTAGAATTGCTTTGGCTATCTGGGTCATTTTTTCAATTCAGAATTTCATATACACTTTGGGATTGTTGTTTTCTAATTCTGTGAAAAATGACATTGGTAGTTTGATAGAAATTGCACTGAATCTTTAGATTGCTTTGGACACCATGGTCATTTTTAATTTTTTTTAATCCATGAACATGGGATATTTTTCCATTAGTTTGTTTTATTTCAGGTTTCTTCCACCCATCTTTTGTAGTTCTTATTGTAGAAATATTTTACCTCCTTGGTTAAACGTATTTCTCAGTTATATGTGTGTGTGTGTGTGTGTGTGTGTGTGTGTGTGTGTGTGTGTGTGTATTGTAAATGAGATTGAGTTCTTGATTTTGTTCTCAGCTTGAATATTATTGCTATATAGAAATACTACTGACTATTGGACATTGACTTTGTATTCTGAAACTTTATTGCAGTCATTTGCCAAGTCTAGGAGTCTTTCAGAGTCTTTAGGGTTTTCTTTGTATAAGACCATGCCATCTCTTAATGTAACTTCTATCCCAACTTTTGTGGTAATTTTTTTCTTGCATTTTTCATAATTTTATTTTCTAATTTGTTTATCCAGAAATACCATTTAGTTCTGTTTGGTATTAGACTTGAAAACAGTGCAAATTTTCTTTCTTAATAAATAATGAAAATAAATTTCGTTTTTGAAATTCATCCATGTTTTTGCTTAGTTCATTCATTTTTACTGATGTATTGAGTAGTCTTAAGTTACCAATTTCATTTTTAATAGTTATGCTTTTTCCAAAAATTTTATAATAATTAGTAGTTTTATCATGACTATTCCTATATACATATTCATATAAATGCATAACCAAGAGTGCAATTGCTCATTTGGAGGGCATGCCATCTTTAGCACTATGACTATTAAATAAATTGTTTGCATTGATTAAGAGAGTGATATTCCACATCATCACCAGGACTGTGGATTGTCAGACATTTTAAGTAACTGTGGCTCCCCATACAGGATAACTTGGTTAAACTTGCTATTCACTTGGCATCCCTAGCATTATATTATTGTCATCATAAGAATGGAACCCAAAGTTCTGGAGTTTTTAATCAATTATTAAACAACAATTAATCGAATAGCGTGTAAGTTCCTAACCTTGTGCTAGCCGTTGTCCTACGTTTGTGATAAGAATAGATAAAGTGCCCTTCTACCTAGCAGTTTAGACAATAAACAAGGAGAAAAGAAATTAAATGTGTATTGTATGATAGCAGGTTAGTGATAATCACTAATAATCCAATGAGTTTATATGATACCAAAATATTGATTAGATCAGGAAATCACTGCTAAAGAGGAAACATTATTTATCAGTATGTTTATAACAGATGGAGCAATGAGTATAAAAGTCATGTGTTAGGGTATGCAAGATGATGATATAGAGCAGAGTAATCAAGGCAAAGGATAATGGTAGGTGGAGAAGCCAGCTTATAGTTCTGAGCAAGATTATATCTTTAGCTTTTATTAGGCATGTAAATGAAATACTTTTGAGATTTTCAGCTGGAAAAATGAAACTAATGTGAAATGCATTATATTGCCAGAGATGACTTCCATTGCCTGGTGGGGAAGAGACTGGAGGAAGGATGGATAATGGCAGCACACAGATGCTGCTGAGAAGCTATTTTAGTAGTTCATGTAAGAGACAATTGTCAAATTTGCAATAAACTTCCAGGTGAAATGGAATTGACTTTCTAATGGCTTGGAATGGTGTATATAAAACAGCTGGTAATGACTCCATGTTTTGAAGCTTTAGAAAATAGATTAATAATGGCTCAAATTACTGAGTGAAAAATTACTGGGAAAGAAGCAGGATTGGCAGGATGCAGATAAAGAATTCTCTTTTACTTACTAAGGTTGAGATGCCTATTTGATATTCAAGGCAGTCGCAAATGAGATGAGTGTTCAGGAATGAGATATCAGCTAAAGATATAAATTTTAGTCTTGTGCCCATATCTTAGCTGCAAGGAAGGATTTTATGAACTGCTGGTGAGACTGTAAATCAGTGCAATCAACGTAGACAAAGAAATAAATGCATACACCATGTCATCTTGTAATAACTCCCAACCCCCAACACCTAAAGAAGAGACTGTGTGTTTAAGTTGGGAGTGTATTGTGGAGTAAGAATAAGAAACAGGATGGGTGCTATAGGGAGAGAGAGTAAAATCTAGAACACATTATTAAGTTAGGTGATGGAATACTATATGACCATTCACTGAAGTGAAACAACGGGGGAAATATGTATCCATCAGCTCTAGGAGTTCCATTTTTCAAGCATAGCCTCATGGATGCTAACTTCTCGATGTGTCTAGACAGTGCATTTATGAGTAACAAGCAAAATGCCTACAACAATCCACACAACATTGTCTGAGAAATCCCACAGCAGAAAGTGAATTCTTGCTCTGGTCTGAAGCCACATACTATCACTTCCATCTTTATGAAACTGACCAAAGTCTACATAAAAATAGTAACCAAGGCTCTGACTGGAACAAGAGGTAATGCTGAGAGGGTCTGCAGTGATGTAAGATCCAATACACCCTATGATTTTTAAATTTTGTTCCTGGGTTTATATCCTAGAGAAACTCTGACATATATATGTGTATATATATATACATTCATATATATACACATTTAATATATATATACACACATACACATTCATAGCAGCTTTTTGTTGAAATAGCAAAAAATGAGAAAAAAACTAAATGGCAATATAATGAACAAAAGGGAGCTGTGTTTTGATATTTTTATATAGTACAATGCTAAACAGCATTTAAAATAATTGATAAGAATTATATGGGCCAACATAGATGGACATCATCAATGTCATATAAAACAAAATAAAGCAGAAGGTAGATAGACACTTTTTTTTTGAGTCGGAGTTTTTGCTCTGTTGTCCAGGCTGGAGTGCAGTGGCGTGGTCTTGGCTCACCGCAACCTCCGCCTCCCGGGTTCAAGCAATTCTCCTGCCTCAGCCTCCTGAGTAGCTCGGATTACAGGCACCCTCCACCACGCCTGGCTAACTTTTGTATTTTTAGTAGAGACAGGGTTTCACCATGTCGGCCAGGCTGGTCTTGAACGCCTGACCTCAGGTGATCCACCCACTTAGGCCTCCCAAAGTGCTGGGATTACAGGCATGAACCACCACGCCCTGATGATAGACACGTTTTTAACTTCTAAAAATATATGATCATGATTGTGTCTGTGGAGACTTGCACATATACTAAATTTTAAACAATTAGAGATATTTGTTCATTACCACATTTTGGGAGTCATTATTTCCTCTATGAAGAGAGAAAGGAATTTGATACAAGTTCACAGGGGCTTCCAGTAGATTGAGACTTTTATTTCTAGCTGAGCTGCTGATGTATGAATTTTTTTTGTTATTATGACTTTCATATGTATTAAAAATAAAATGAAAAAACAAGGATTAGGTGAGGAACCTATACGTCTCTAATATGCAAAATACCACAGAAATAATGACTGTTGGGAAATTAGGCCTTAGCTCTGATGTTTGAACCATCCCCTCAATGTTTCCCAGTGCTTCTTAGAGTATTTTGATCACCTCTGTGTTGGTGCTTTAGAACTAGAGAAGAACGTTTTGTTAACTTTTTTTTTTTTTTTTTTTTTTTTTTTGAGACAGAGTTTCACTCTTATTGCCCAGGCTGGAGTGCAGTGGCACAATCTCGGCTCACTGCAACCTCTGCCTTCTGGATTCAAGCGATTCTCCTGCCTTGGCCTCCAGAGGAGCTGGGATTACCTGCCACCACATCTAGCTAACTTTTTGTATTTAGTTGGTCGGGCTGGTCTTGAACTCCTGACCTCAGGTGATCCACCCATGTCAGCCTCCCAAAGTGCTGGGATTACGTGTGTGAAACACTGCACCTGGCCTTTTGTTAACTTTTAGTTTAAGTTCAGCAGTACACGTGCAGGTTTGTTATACAGGTAAACTCGTGTCATGGGGATTTGTTGTACAGGTTATGTTGTCACCCGGGTATTAAGCTTAGTACCCATTAGTTACTTTTCCTCAACCTCTCCGTTTTCCCACCCGCTACTCTCAGGTAGGTCCGAGTGTGTGGTGTTCTCCTCTATGAGTCCATGTGTTCTTATCACTTGGCTCACATTTATAAATAAGAACATGCTGCATTTGTTTTTCTGTTCCTGCGTTAGTGGGAGCTGAGGATGGGTGGAGCTGAGGATAATGGTCTCCAGCTCCACCCATGTTCCTGCAAAGGACATGATCTTGTTCTTTTGTATGGATGAATACTATAAAGTCTTCCAAACTGTTTTGGTTTTGGTTTGTTTTCTTTCTTGAGAAAGGAAAGACAAAACAGAAATAAAAGAGTAGGCCGAGCGGGGTGGCTCACGCCTGTAATCCCAGCACTTTAGGAGGCTGAGGCAGATGGATCACTAGGGGTCAGGAGTTTGAGACCAGCCTGAACAACATGGTGAAATCCCGTCTCCACTAAAAATACAAAAAATCAGTCAGGCATGGTGGCACATGCCTGTAATTCCAGCTACTAGGGAGGCTGAGGCAGGAGAATCGCTTGAATCTGGGAGGCAATGGGTTGCAGGGTGTGCTGGGATGGCACCACAGCCTGGGTGAAAGAGTGAGACTCTGTCTCAAAAAAAAATAATAAAATAAAAAAGGGAGAGAGAAAGAGTACCAATGTATGGCAGAAATCAAGAGAAGAGTTTGCTTTTTTGAATAACTACACCCTGGACATTAGTTTCAAGAAACCGTCTGCTGGAAATATAACTATATGTTTAAGTTGACGGATCATTATTACACGTAGCAGAAAGAAAGTCACTCCTTGCTAGAAAGCCCTGTGTAGGTCATTAGGCATCACAGTGTGGAGTTATCTAAGCAAGCACCAAGGTAGGATATCTGAATAACTGATTTATTTCCATGTTTACTGACAATATTCATTGCAACAAGTCAGTAGAGAAACAGTAAAGAGGGCAGGCATGGCTATGCTTCTATAGAATCTAGTGAAGAGGAGATAATTTCAAATAACCCAAGAAGGTAAATGAGTAGTCAAATTTTCAAAAGGACTATTAACTCACAAACAGGAAACTATAATAGAAAATAGTTGGTTGAAGGCAGAATGCCCAGTTCAGAAAAGATTCCTCTGAAAAGCAATATATAAGCATAGACTTCGAGGATGAAGAGTCACTCATTTTGAAAGAGCAGATGAAGAAAGTTTCAGGACAAAGAAACAGCCATCTGCAAAGACCTCAACAAAGATATCACACAGAAAATGCTGTATTTAATCTGTTGCTAGACAAAAGTGAGCTACGGATCACATGGTCTTGGATGAGGGAGACAGATGATATAGTTTGGATGTCCCGCCCAAATCTCATGTTGAAACCAGATCCCCAGTGCTGAAGGTGGAGCTTGGTGGGAAGTGTTTGGATCATGAGGTCGAATCCTTCGTGACTTGGTGCTGTCTCCATGGTAGTGCACCTACCCCAACACACTCTCTCTCTCTTGTTCCTGCTTTCACCATGTGAAGTGCCTGCTCCTGCTTTGCCTTCTGTCATGAGTAAAAGCTCCCTGAGGCCTCTCCAGAAGAAGATGCCACTGTGCTTCCTGTACAGCCTGCAGGACTGTGAGTCAATTAAACATTTTTATAATATCCAGTCTCAGATATTTCTTCATAGCAATACAAGAACAGCCTAATATAACAGATAAGCAGGGACTAAAGTCATCAAAATTAGAATTGTGCATTTAATTTTGATTGCATTTAATTTTCATTGCATTTAATTTTGATTGCATTGAAAAGGCAGATGCTTTGAGGCTAGAATGAGGTAATAACTGTTTTGTTTTGTTTTGTTTTGTTTGCTCTTAACAAATTAGTCTGACTTCAGTCCATAGTAAATTGGAGAGGAACTGGTAGAACATAAAAGAACTGGTAAAAAGCCATTGTAAACACTCAAGTTTCAAAAACAATTTTGTGGTAAGGGCAAATCCTCAGGTCAAGAAAAGTGTGTTACTAAATTCCGTTAGTTTCCAGAAGAAAGATAAAGTCATATGACACAGATTTTACTCCTTACGTTAGAGAGTGTGCTAAGGATACCACCCACATTTTCCAACATTTATTTCCATCATGTTTTATGATCTTCATCTATATTCCATCCTCGTTATTTCTAGCAAGTCTATGAAATTTCTTACATTAATAGAAATAATGTATTAATATTCAGCAATGTGCTAAACATTGTTGAAACATTGTCTCAATATTACTCTTGGAAGAGCTCTAAGGTAGACAATATTTCCAATATATGAGTCATGAGGAAACTGAGGAATGGAAAGATTAAACAACTTGTTGAGGGTAGCATAATTGTAAATGGTGAAGACATAATACAAATCCTAATATCTATGACTCTAATGCTTTAAAAAATCATTATATACACTACGCTGTCTCTGATGTGTGAATCTACCCACTTCTAATTCATTATAACAAGTATTTGTTGCCAGGTAGCATTCCGGGCTTTGGGGATACATCTTTGGAAAAGCTTACAGAAATCTCTGTCCTCAGGGAACTAATATTCTAGGGACTATACAATAAACAATAAGCAAAAATGTAACATGTATAGTGTGTTAGACTGTAGTAAGTACAATGGCAAAAAATTAAGAATGGAGAATGTCTAAGGGGACAGATTGTTTGGAATTTGAATAAAGTGGCTATGGAAAACCTCACTGGGATAATGGCATCTGACCAAAAGCATGAGGAAGATATAGAACAAACCGTATCTGTTGCATGTTTAGTAATAACCAAGAAAATACTGTACGTGAAGCTGAGTGAGAAAATTACATAGTGGAAGGAGGGAAGTCCATAGAAGAATTGGGGGCTTCATGTGGTGGAGCATCTATAAAGCATTGTGCAAGACTCTGACTTTTACAATGAATGAAACGAGAGATCAGAGTTTTACACAGAAAAAGGTAATAACCTGATACATGTTTTAAAGTGATTATACAAATTGCTCTTTTGAGGATGTACTGAAGGGTGCCTTACGCAGAATCAGAAACACCTGTTTGCTGGCCATTTCAATAACCTGGGCAATAAATGATGGTGGTTAGCACCAGGATGCTAGTGGTGAAAGTAGCAAAAATGATCAGAATTGAGCTGCATTTTGAACATACAGTTAATAAGTTCTGTGGCATGACAGAAAAATGATTCCATAATATTTCTATTGAGCAACCTTGTTGATGTGATATTCAAACTAAGTCCTAATATTAAACAATGTAGGAATTTCAATGAAAATATGACCAAAGGGAGAAAATGGCTCCCAACCTACTGTAATTAAAGTTCCCTTCTGTTGTTTTAAAATGCTACTATGGATAGAGAAAACAAGATATGGATTTGGAAGAAAATTACCCACAGTCTAATTGTCAGATTTATTGACTTAAAGATGTTACATGGCAATAAAGTTGAAAGAAAAATAAGAAGAAATTCTAAAAGCCAGCATGTTAGATTTATTCCCTCCACAAAAAGAATTGCTAATATTTATAAAGTGAGATAATAGGCCAAATACTTGTACTTGGCATAATTGCATTTTCTCAACAAATCCTATATAATCAACATTGTTTTATTTGTATATGTGTGAAAAATCATGACACCTGCAGTTTAAGTTACATTTGTATGAAACAGTCAATATGTGGCAGAGCCAGAATAAAGCCCACGTTTAGATTAAAGGAATTCTCTTTCCATTGCACCCACCCGTATTGCCTGTGGAAACCCTAAACAAGCCATTTAAATTTGTTGGAATTCCGTTTTTCAACTTTTTAAAACCTCTTAAGAGTCCAGTCCTAAATCAAGTTAATGTTTAAATTCTTCACTTATGCTTAGTATGTACATTATTCCAAAATGTGAATTGGTCCCAAATATCATATTCATTCTAACAGAGGACATTAAAAGTTTAAAAGATATCTGTTATATGGCTGAACTGATTATATTTTATCGGAAAGTGAAAGGAACGGAAAGGAACTACTCAGCATATTTCTAATGAGTATACAGAGGAAAAGTACTTTGCCTCATTTAATTTTGTAAAATCTCTCTCTGGCACATAATTCACAGTCTTTTTTTGCCCACAGGAATAGTGAGGCAGATATGTATTAATTCATGTCATAATACAAGAATAGGTAGCGATAAAACACTGGCATTTTCCAAATTGCCAGTATAAAGAATTGCCAGAAGAACATGGGTATTAGCTTCAGATTCTCCAAGGGGTTAACATTTATGTTATCTGTTAAATATGAATTATGTATTAACTTCTCATATTTCATATATAAAACTTTATGCTTTGGTCCTGTTCCTCGGGATGACCTTGATGTAATCAGAAATAATAGTGTTCTTTACCAAAGACATTAATCAATAACTTTATAATACGAAGCACTATGAATATTTAATGGCTTCAGCTTGAATAATTCAAATCCCGTATTACTAGAAAATAAAGTCAATTGAGTGACTGAGAGTTCCATATTCCACAATTCCTACTCTGCTTACTACCTATTCTACTTACTATTCTCTTTACTATTTGAGAAGGGTATGGAGTTGTGTATGTTGCAAACATCACGTAACTTTTGTTCGACTTTCTTGAACACGTCATATTATTTTTTTTAGTTCATTTTCTGAATATAAGTAATTTTTGGTGAATTAATACTTTAAACAAGAGTTCACCTGGAAAGCAGTAGGCAAAATTTCATTAAAAATATTATTTTATTAACATACCTTAAAAATGTAATAGGACAATGCCTCAAAGAACAATTTCAAAATAAAAACACAGAAAACAAATGACCAGCAAAATTGCTCTGAAGTCTTAAAAACAGAAATAAATACTTCGATAATCATAGGTAATATGGAAATCCAATGTATGACTTACCTATAGAAAACCCTTCTGGAATTTCATTTAAATCTAACGTCAATATGAGCTATGTAGGAAGTCCATTAATAAATAAGAATATTATATAGGTACACATGTATATATTAATTTTAAGCCATATGCAGCCCTATTTGAAAATGTTAAAAAAAATCATCAGGATTAGTCCATACTGATTATTAAAAAATAAAATTGTCACTGCTCATTGTAGAAGATAAATGTCAGCTGTGCAGCAGATGTGTTTATAGCCACCCAGTAATCCTATCGCCTCAATAATGCATTTCCCTTTTTTTAGTTAAAAACTTAATTACATTAAGAAACTGTATGTGTTTAGGAATATGAATATAGAAGGAGTAATCATCGTTTAGTAAAATAAGTTTTACTTGCCTATTAAAATTTACTGTGTTTGTGAAGATGCTGATAGTACATTACATATGGAGATCCAAGTGCACATAGTCACTAATTCTTTAAACTATGTTTGATATTAGTAATAATTTACTTTACATATATATCGGAATTTAATTGAAAAATAGTAAATGACTGCTAATATACATTATTCTTCTGAGTTGCATTTTTGCTTAATGAAATAGAATTTTTAAAAAAATTGTTTATCTTTATTCCTACTAGATTATACATTTCATGAGAAAAGCATTATCTCTTTATTAGTATATTTGTTTACCTGTATTAGAACTTGACTTTGAAATAAACCAGATATAATACCATTGTTGTAGATGTATTTATTGTAGTAAAAATAATATTCTGCATCTGAGTTTTGAGCAAGGAGATTTTACAGTCTCCTTTCAGTTAGAAAACTACAAGACCCTCTTAACTGATGTTGGAAATGTAAGTAAAGAAGATAAAAATTAAAATGATAAAGAAAAGCATTTGGGGTATAGTAGCACTGTGTTTCCCAGGAGAATGAGTTGTTAAGTGCTCACTCCGCATTTTTCAGTAACATATACTTAAAGTAAGCACACAGGGGCTACAGACGCTATTTTTTGGTTCAACATGACCTGAGCAGTTAATTATTTGTAAAGGGAAGAAGCAAGAATAGGCTCAGGGAGGGAGACAGAGAAAGACTGGGTAGGGCGGGGAGGGAGGGAGAGTTTCACCTGTATCTAAAACAGATCAGAAGCAATTTCTTCCTCCAACTCCTCACTTGTCTATTTCTACTAATAAAGAGCAAAACCAGACAAAATAGATTATTGTGTCATTTTTGTTTTCTTATTTTGTAATACACAGAAAAACTCAAGCTGGAGATGGAAATGAACAGATGCACATGGCTGGAAAGACTCAGTGCTAATCTCTACAATGTTGTTTTAATAGAATGGAGACAGGACCACATACTTTCTTACAATAATGAGGATCAATAAAGACAAAACTGACACTTTGTAATGAATAATGATCTGAACACTCACCTGAGAAAGTATCTCTTTGTTGCAGGTTTTTGGAAATGGGCTATATTTTTTGAATCATAACCGATATGTACTGCCATAAACAAGAGGATTTCAAGCCAGCTCCATCTGGTCGAAAATTATTTTATTTATTACTAAGAGAAAAGTGTAAGACAAGTCCTGTGGTAAAAACAGATTTATTGCCTCTGCTATTCACCTGTGTTATTTCTTCATATATTACCATTGACATATATTATCCATTCTTCACAGCAATGGCTTTGCCGTGGCAAATTAAATATCTCATTGTCCTTCTCTGTCCATTTTACATTATAATGTTTCTGAGCAGACTTTTATAGCTCTCTCACAGAATTATAGCAAGTCTTTAAATAAAAACAAAATTGAAACAAAAATTTTAGACTCAACTTAAAATCCCTCTTTATTTTATAATTTGGATTTTTAAGTAAAATATGCTATATCCTATTTAACGAGAACTTTCATATGTAATGTATCAATGGAATTATCTAAAGCTCATTTGGTTTTGCATAAAAACACAATTAGAGTAAAAACATTCTAAAATAGACACTGGAATAAAAACAATGAAAGCAAAACTATTAATTTTACATTTTTCATTCAAGTATTTTGATTTTTACTATATTATATTATTATATTAGGTATCAGAGTAATCATTGATCGCTTTCAAAACCCTGCTCCTTTCTAGGTGCAATGAAGAATTTTTATTTTATTGAAAAGTTATCTTAAGATGTAAGACTTGTGAATGATAGTAAAGATTTAGTAGACCCAATGTATTCTCAGATAAATGTAAAATAAGCAAGATATGAATTAAAGGATAAATATAGAGTTTAACAGCATAGATCTTAAAATCCATTATCATAAGGTAGAAGGATGTATAATTTATCATGATTAAAATATACTAAATATTCATATCACAGCATTCTGATTTCTGATATCTACAATTTAGGTGACATATATACATATGTGTGTATGTATATATAACTGTATTATTTGATATTTTAAAAGATAAAAGAGTTATATATTCAAATACCAGTATAGATGTTGCTCTGAAAGTATTGTTAGATGAGATTAACATGAAAATCAGTAATTTCTGAGAAAAGCAGATTATTTTCCAAAATATTGTAGGGCTCATCCAGTCAATTGATTATATTAAAAGACTGAGATCCCTCAAGGAAATAATTCTGCCTGCAGATTGCCTTTCGACTTGAGACTGTAACATCAACTTTTCTCTAGGTCTCTTGCTTGCTAGCCTACCCTGCCAATTTTTTATACATTAAAAAATATTTTTCTCAAATATTGTAGTTCTGCTATTTCCAGAAACGCTTGAGGATTGTACTTCCAAGTTCTTTTAAAGTTGATCATCGTCATGAAACTCATCATCAAATGGCATTTGAGCAAAATCTTTATTAATTAAACATGAGTGGAAGTTTAAAGGCCAAAGCACAACTCACTCAGGCATTGTGAACTATGTGTGCAGACAGATCACAACTCATCCTTGGTCTCTGGGTGTGTCTGCGTCTATTACTGACTTACCCTGGATATGTAAAATGAATAAGAAAAACTTTTTGTGTTAGCCACTGGGATTTTTGGTTTGTGTATTACTTTAGCATATTATCTCATTTTGAATGCTATAGTTTAGGACACTAGTTTAAACTACTGAAGTTAAAATGTTCTCCTTATTTCAGAGGAGAGAAGGATCTTACAGTGACAGACATCCATTAGTAAGAATTAATTTCTAGAGATAAAGTGAATTCAGTAACCACAGTGTCAGTAGAGTCAGCATGGTCAAAATAGTCTACATGGGAAATGTTTGGTGGCTCTTAGTTGATCATGGAGTCTCTAGAACCAAAAGTTATGAATGCCAATTAAGTTTCGATTTGGCTTATATGATCTCAAATCTTCAGGTTTACAAAACATATCTTGAGCCACCACCCAGCTCTGTCACCCAGGCTGGAGTGCAGTGGCACCATCTCAGCTCATTGCAGCCTCCGCCTCCGAGGTTTAAGCGATTCTCATGCCTCAGCCTCCTGAGTAACTGGGACTACAGGTGCTCACCACCATACAGGGATGTTTTTTCTATTTTTTTGGAGAGACACGGTTTCACCATGTTGGCCAGGCTGCTCTCGAACTCCTTACCTCATGATCCGCCCACCTCGGCCTCCCAAAGTGCTGGGATTACAGGCGTGAGCCACGGCGCCCAGCCCATTTTTTCTTTTCACCCACCTCGGCCTCCCAAAGTGCTGGGATTACAGGCGTGAGCCACTGCACTGAGCCTACAGCTCATTTCTTAACACATAAAGCTTTGCACCTCTCCACAAAACTGCCATCAGGGATGTCCCCAGAAACCATTCATCCCAGGTGCCACGCAGAGAAGAGTTTCTTGTTCTCCTTTTCCCTTTACCTCTTCCCTCTCACCTCATCATGTTCATTCATTCATCCCTTTTCCACTCTCACATTTAAGCTTTAACCTTTCAAAAGCCTATCTTCCCCTATAAGTAATGTATTGTAACTCCCGCCATCACCATATCCTTCTCCAACCAACCAAACTGCCATCCTGAGTTTATGGAAAGTCCATAAACTAAGAAGAAATGGGAAACATTCATTGCTAACTTGGCAGCCCCTCATCCACCCTACGTGAGAGCACAGATCTTATTGTCTTTGAAGACCCTTTCTTTTTTTTTTTTTTTTTTTTTTTTTTGAGAAGCAGTCTCACTGTCGCCCAGGCTGGAGTGCAGTGGCACAATCTCGGCTCACTGCAAGCTCCAACTCCTGGGTTCATGCCATTCTCCTGCCTCAGCCTCCCGAGCAGCTGGGACTACAGGCACCCGCCACCACGCCCGGCTGATTTTTTTTGTATTTTCAGTAGAGACAGGGTTTCACTGTTAGCCAGGATGGTCTCGATCTCCTGACCTCGTGATCTGCCTGCCTCGGCCTCCCAAAGTGCTGGGATTACAGGCATGAGCCACCGTGCCCAGCTCCTTTTTTTTTTTAAAGACAGGTCTCACTCTGCTGCCCAGGCTCAAGTGCAGTGGTGTAATCATGGCTTACTGCAGCCTCCAACTCCTGTGCTCAGGCTATCCGCCTGCCTCAGCCTCCCAAGCAGCTAGGACTACAGGCACACACCACCACACCTAGCTAATCTGTTTAGTTTTTGTAGAGATGGGGGTCCTGCTATGCTGAACAGGCTGGTCTCGAACTCCTGGCCTCAAGCAATCCTCCCACCTTGGCCTCCCAAAGTGCTGGGATGACAGGCATGAGCCACCATGCCTGGTCTGAAGACTTTTAAATGCTGCCATATTCAAGACGCGTTGAAACTCACCTGTATTCGATGAGCCTGCTTTTCGCAAATGAGTAACATAAAACAGACTGAAATACCTTAAGCTTCTCAGCCTTTTACCCTCCTCTGGAATAATGAGTGTATCCCAAAAGTAAATCCATAATGAGGTCCAGTTTTTCCTTCATCCTTGGCTATGAAATAGACAAGAAAAAGGCAAGCTAGCCATTTCCATCTCACTATAGCAGACTCTCATGTTTGCTTTTTGACCGTACGTGGGAAGCGGGGGCCTGACTGCTTTCCTACTTCCTAAGCACAACTTACTTTTCCTAGGAAATTCTCAACACAACCTACATGGATTAAACCAGGTTCCCCCCTTTGTTTCCAATATTCTTACAGCCAAAATGTCCAGAATGGGCAAGGCAACCTGAAAAAATGAGGACGGGTACATTATCCCATGCGCTAAACTGCCACTTACACTGGTTAGTCATGAAATCGGCAAAATTCCAGATGAGCTCTCCAACCACGTATTTTCTGCGTTTTTGATCCAGACCCAGATGGTACTGCTCTAGCAGACTTTTCCGGTCCTCTTCACTGAACATCAGAGGTGGATCCTGGGATTCAAGGCAAAGAGAATTAAGAGTAAGAACTGGCAGAATTGTAAATGTTAGATAAAAATAAAGATCCACTTGATGGTGACCAAAATATCTGTCCTCACTGGGGGCTGTAGGGACTGCAGGACTCACTGATGCTAGGGTAAAGACAGCCAGGGAGAAATTGGAAATCATCATTCTCAGTAAACTATCGCAAGAACAAAAAAACAAACACCGCATATTCTCACTCATAGGTGGGAATTGAACGATGAGATCACATAGACACAGGAAGGGGAACATCACACTCTGGGGACTGTTGTGGGGTGGGGGGAGGGGGGAGGGATAGCATTGGGAGATATACCTAATGCTAGATGACGAGTTAGTGGGTGCAGCACACCAGCATGGCACATGTATACGTATGTAACTAACCTGCACAATGTGCACATGTACGCTAAAACTTAAAGTATAATAATAATAATAAAAAAATACAAAAAAAGAAACGACAGCCAGGGAATGATGTAACCCAGAATTAAAAAGGAGGTTTAAAAAAAAACCATCAATTAGCAACTGCTTTATTTATAAATATAAACTGATACTCAATTTTTCTTACTTTTCCGTCTCTGTCTGCTGATACAGTCTTAAGGCTGAACTACACTAGAAGGAAAAATATGTCTTTAGGTCAGGCGCGCTGGCTCATGTCTGTCATCCAAGCACTTTGGGAGACCGAGGTGGGAGGACTGCTTGAGCCTAGGAGTTCAAGACTAGCCTACAAAAAGTACAAAAGTTAGCCAAGCATGGAGGCACACACCTGTGGTCCCAGCTACTTGGGAGGCTGAGGTGGGAGGACTGCTTCAGTCCCGGAGGTCAAAGCTGTGGTTTGCACCACTACACTCCAGCCTGGGTGACAGAACAAGACCCTATCTCATGAATGAATGAATGAATGTAAAATGAAATTAAACTAAACCAGGCTGGGCATGGTAGCTCAGGTCTGTAATCCCAGCACTTTGGGAGGTCGAGGCAGGAGGATCACTTGAGCTCAGGAGTTCAAGATCAGCCTAGGCAACACAGTAAAACCCAGTCTCTATAAAAAGGCTAAATATTCGCTAGGTGTAGTGGCGCATGACTGTGGCTCCAGCTACTTGGGGGGCCGAGGAGGAAGGATCACTTGAGCCCAGGAGGTTGAGCAGTGAGCTGTGATTACGCCACTGCACTCCAGCCTGGGCAACAGAGTAAGGCTGTCTCAAAAAAAAATTTTTTTTAATTAAACCAAATAAATTCAGTTATCCTAGTCATATATCAAGACCTCAATAGCCACATGTAGCTAGTGGCTACCATTTCAGACAGTGCAGACATGGGGCATTTCCATCATTGCAAAGGTTCTTTTTTGAAACAAGGTCTCACTCTGTCACCCAGGTGGGAGTACAGTGGTGCAATTATGGCGGACTGCAGCCTTGACCTACTGGGCTCAAACAGTCCTCCTACCTCAGCCTCCCAAGTAGCTGGGACTAGAGGCAAGCACGACCATACCCAACTATTTTTTTTTTTTTTTTTTGAGACGGAGTCTTGCTCTGTCGCCCAGGCTGGAGTGCAGTGGCACAATCTCGGCTCACTGCAACCTCCACCTCCCCAGTTCAAGCGATTCTCCTGCTTTAGCCTCCTGAGTAGCTGGGATTACAGGTGCATGCCACCACACCCAGCTAATTTCTGTGTTTTCTTAGTAGAGACGGGGTTTCACCATCTTGGTCAGGCTGGACTTGAACTCTTGGCCTCGTGATCCACCCACCTCAGCCTCCCAAAGTGCTGGGATTACAGGCGTCAGCCACTGCACCCAGCCACAACTCATCTTAAATATTTTGTAGAGATGGGGTCCATGTTGTGCAGACTGGTCTCAAACTCCTGGGCTCAAGAGATCCTCTGACCTCGGTCTCCCAAAGGGCTAGCATTCCAGGTGTGAGCCAGCACACCCAGCACTGCAGAGGTTCTATCAATGCTCACCTAGACCCTCTCGAGTTTCTTAAGAATTCAGAACTGGGGCTGGGTATGGTGGCTCATGCCTGTAATTCCAGCACTTTGGGAGGCCAAGGCAGGTGGATCGCTTGAGGTCAAAAGTTCAAGACCAGCCTGACCAACGTGGTGAAACCTCATCTCTACTAAAAAAAAAAAAAAAAAAAAAAAAATTAGGTGAGCATGGTGGTGCATGCCTGTAATCCAAGCTACTTGGGAGGCTGGTGCAGGAGAATTGCTTGAACCTGGGAGGCGGAGGTAGCAGTGAGTCAAGATTGCACCACTACACTCCAGCCTGGGCGACAAGTGAAACTCCTCCTAAAAGGAGAAAGAATTCAGAGCTGGTTACCTTTTCAAAGAGAATGAACAAGGGTGCATATCCACAAATCACTTCCCCCTACTTGACTAGTTTACAGAAGTGTCATTCTGTAAGCACGATAAATTTAAGGGTGCAAACAGAACAGTGCAGTCCATTGTGGGTGGCTGTTCCCTGTGTGTCAACGGGAGTCCCAGGAGCTGTGCAAAAGAGTGTGAGCTGGCTGGGGAGGGGACAAGGGGCTGGATGGGGTTCAGGAATCCACATGAAAAAAACCCCACAAGACAAAGCAACATATCTTTGGTGAGAAGGACAAAAAATGAGATGGATAAACAAATGAGGACAGGCCAGGCATGGTGGCTCAGGCCTGTAATCCCAGGATTTTGGGACGCGGAAGCAGGCAAATCACTTGACGTCAGGAGCTCAAGACCAGCCTGGCCAACATGGCAAAACCCCACCTCTACAAAAATACAAAAATTAGCTGGGCATGGTGGCAGGTGCCTGTAATCCCAGCTGCTTGGGAGGTTGAGGCAGGACAATCGCTTGAGCCTAGGAAGTGGAGGTTGCAGTGAGCTGAGATCACACCATTGCACTTCAGCCTGGGTGACAGAGTGAGACTCCATCTCAAAAAAAAAAAAAGACAAAGTGAGTGATTAAACATGGCTCTAAGATCTCACCCATGCCCTCAATAGGTATTATTTAGCATGTACTGTGTCAGCTATTGCAGAGTACCTGGGAAACAACAATAAATAGGACTCCTGTCTCCTGAGCCCACAGTCCGATCAAAGAGAGAGCCAAAGAAATAACAACGGTGCCTGGCGAGAATGTTGGGAGAGCCAGGTTCCGGCTGCAACAGGGCAGAGCACGGGGAAGGTTCCCTCCGCCTGGGGCAGGCAGGGTAAACCTCCCCACAGAGGGGACAGCTATGAGGAGACTCAGATGCCAAACAGGAATCTTTTCAGCCACGTGTCGTGACTCATGCCTGTATTCCCAGCACTTTGGGAGTCCAAGACAGGAGGTGAAGACCAGCCTGATAGCGAGACTCATCTCTACAAATATTTTAAAACTAGGCTGCACATGGTGGTGCACGCCTGTAGTCCCAGCTACTCAGGAGGCTGAGGCAGGAGAATTGCTTCAGCCCAGGAGTTCGAGGCTGCAGTGAGCTATGATGACACCACCACACTCCAGCCTGGGCAACAGAACAAGACCCTGTCAGGAAAAAAATAAAAAATAAAAAAAGGCTAGCACAGTGGATCACACCTGTTAATCCCAGAACTTTGGGAGGCCAAGGCAAAAAGATCAATTGAGTCCAGGAGTTTGAGACCAGCCTGGGCAACATAGCAAGACCCTATCTCTAAAATAATAAAAAGAAAAGGATCTTTTAGTTGGTGATTATGGTGCCAACTTGGGCATTCCAGGCAGAAAGAATAGCTCAAGCAAGAGCAGGAGAGCAAATGAGGGCAGTGGAAACAGATCAGTGGCCAGGAGTGAGAAGAGAAGAGGATGAAAACCCAGGAGAGAGCAGAGGACACTGAGTGTCCTGACTAGGGGTTAGGACTTTGTCCTATGGGCCTGGGGGAGCCAATGACAGGACTCAAAAATTTTGATTTGTGGCCGGGCACAGTGGCTCACACCTGTAAATCCCAGCGCTTTGTGAGCCTGAGGCAGGAGGGTCACTTGATCCCAGGAATTCAAGACCAGCCCAGGGAACACAACAAGGCCCCATCTCTACAAAAGTAAAAAAATTAGCCAGGCATGGTGGCCTGTGCCTATGGTCCCAGATACTCAGGAGGCTGAGGTGGGAAGATCGCTTGGGCCCAGGAGGTTAAGGCTGCAGGGAGCAGTGATCGCACCACCGCACTCCAGCTTGGGTGACAGAGAGAGAGGCGGTCTCAAAAACACATAAAAATTTGGATTTCTTAGAAAGACCACTTGGGCACGGGTGATAGGAGGCTGTCTGGAAACAATGCCAGTAAGGAGTCCACCTTTGAGGACCAAGCGAGTGGGGCAGAGGCCTGGCTGCTGGTGAGAAGGGAACGTGGACAGGGTAGCGGGAGGTGAGCCCAAAGCTGAAGCAAGGGGAGCACTGCAGTGGGCGCAGGGCAGGGTGGGGGAGGCAAGTGGCATCTCTGCCCAGAGAGAATACACAAGCAGGAAGTTCAACACCGCTTACCTGGTGAAACCCTACAAGCGTTTCCACTCCATACGCGCTCTGAATAATGGGATTGTGATGTCTTACACCAATTCTCAAACTGGGCGGCCAGCTGCAGCTGAATCAACTCCAGGTGCCCGTAGTTGCGATACCAAGAGTAGTAGCTGTTCACACGGATCACATCCACATACAGAGCCTAGGACCAGAGCAGCAGAGCCCGTTCAGCAACCACAAGACCGCATGACTCAGTACTCACATGCTGTGGGGGCTCCTCTGACAGAGAAGGTAAGAAGGGGATGTAATCCCAGCACTCTGGGAGGCTGAGGCAGGAGGGTGGCTTGTGGCCAGGAGTTCGAGACCAGCCTGGGCAACACAGCAAGACCCCAGCTCTACAAAAAATAGTATCAAGAAAATCAGCACGGCACAGTGGCTCATGCCTGTAATCCCAGCACATTGGGAGGCCAAGGTGGGAGGATCACTTGAGCCCAGGAGTTTGAGACCAGCCTGGGCAACATCGTAGGACTCCATTTCTACAAAACAAAACAAAAAGCCTACAACGGGAAGAGCTGCCTCTCGGGGCTGAGAACATCCAACTGCACCAATTTAGATCCTGAAATTACCCTGCCCCACAAGCAAAAAACATGGTCACAAAGTGGCCCAAAGGAGGCAGGCCTGTGATTGCACACTGACGCTCACGACGTGTGCAGCTGGGAAGGGCTGTGAGAGGCAGAGCAGCTGCCAACACGCAGTCCTCAGCCAAAACCCAGGGCCCCCGCCACTGGAACTGACTCCTCTCCAGGCAGCACTCCCAGCACTGGGCATCCCCTCACCTTGCCCTGGAGAAGCCCTCCCACCCAAGGGGCCAATGCAGTCATTCTCGCAGATAATCTTTTTCCGCTTTGTTTGGAAGACAGAGTCTCGCTCTGTTGCCCAGGCTAGAATGGAGTGGCACAATAATGCAACCTCTGCCTCCCACGATCAAGCGCAGGCGTGGTGGCATGTGCCTGTTATCCCAGCTACTTGGGAGGCTGAGGCAGGAGAATTGCTTGAACCTGGGAGGCGGAGGTTGCACTGAGCTGAGACTGTGCCACTGCACTCCAGCCTGGGCAACAGAGCAAGACTCTATCTTAAAAAAATAATAAAAAATAAAAAAGAATGCTAGTATCAGCCAGGCACGGTGGCTCATGCCTGTAATCCCAGCACTTTAGGAGGCTAAGGCAGGAGGATCACTTGAGCTCAAGAGTTTGAGACTGGCCTGGGCAACATAGTGAGATCCCATCTCTACAAAAACATTTAAAATTAGCCGGGCACAGTGGTGTACACCCGGAGTCCCAGCTACTTGGAAGGCTGAGGCAAGAGGGTTGCTTAGGCCCAGGAATTCAAGGCTGCAGTGAGCTGTGATCACACCACTGCACTCCAGCCAGAGCAACAGAGTAAGACCTTGCCTTCACACACACACACAAAAAAACAAAAAACTCAGGTTCCAACCCTGGAGTTACTAAATCAGGATCTCAGAACGCAGAGATCTGGCATTTCAATAAAACTTCCCCTGGAGATTCTGATCAGCCAGGTTTGGGCCAGATGAACTCTAAGCTCACTTAAACCTTTGACATTTTATGAGTCTATTAAATCGAGTACAAAAAATGCTGAGTCCAAACCGGGCAAACAAATCCCATCTCCCTATGCCCAGCCTCCTTGGATTCAGAAAGCCACACTGCCTGGAGAGTAAGCAGAGAGAGAATTGTCATTAACCCAAAGACCATCTTTGAAAACAGACTGGCTGCGGCTGAGTGCGGTGGCACACGCCTGTAACCCCAGCCCTTTGGAAGGCCGAGGCAGGAGGATCACTTGAGCCCAGGAGTTCGAGACCAGCCTGGGCAACATGGCAAGACCCTGTCTCTATCTTTCTAAGTAAAACAAAATAAAAAGCTCAGACTGGCAGCACATGGTTCTTTCCAGCTGTTCCCATGAGCAGGCTTCAGGACAAGCCCAGGCAAAGGCAGGGAGAAATGGGGTGGGGACCCCCAGGCTCACCCCCTTGTCTGCTGCGTAGGTGGAGTTGGTCACAAAGGTCACAGGCTGGGAGGGGTCCAAGGCTTTGGTGTGAGCAATCACCATCCTGTCCACAAAAGAGAGAAGACACAGGTTCCGTCAGTCCGGGAAAGGCTCAGACACCCTCCCATCCTCTCTGTCCCATCTTCCCCTGCCAGAACACAACTGGGGGCCAGGCACGATGGCTCACGCCTGTAATCCCAGCACTTCAGGAGGCTGAGACAGGCAGATCACTGAGGTCAGGGGTTCAAGAACCGCCTGGCCAACATGGCAAAACCCCATTTCTACTAAATATACAAAAATTAGCCAGGCATAGTGGCACGCATCTGTAACTCCAGCTACTCGGGAGGCTGAGGCACAAGAATTGCTTGAACCCGGGAGGTGGAGGTTGCAGTGAGCCGAAATCACGCTACTGCACTCCAGCCTGGGCCACAGAGCAAGACCCTGCCCCAAAACAAACAAACAAACAAACAAACAAAAAAAAAAAAAGAAAGAAAAAAAAGGAAAAAAAAAAAAAAAAACAAAGCACAGAGCCGCTGCTTTCTTCCCTAACTTGAGATGTATTTTACATAAGGGCACGTTCCTCTAGTCCTAGACCGAGCTCTCTAACAACACTCTTTCTCCCCCACCCCTGAATCCAACTCCCCCAGAGGCGTAGCCACCCTGCCGGGTACACAGAGCTGAGGTCACTGGACTGAACACTGCCAGAAATGAGGTTCACTTCCTGAAATAGCTCTTGAACACAGGAGTGAATGGGCTGTGGATTCAGGTGGAATATTTATTAATGCATCAAGCAAACAGGTAGTGCGAGGTGGGAGGTAGGCATGAGGCTGGGTGCTAGGTGCTCAGTAATGACTCAAATCTAAGTCCACAGGTCCTGGGCAGTGGGAGTGGAGATGCATGCACAGAAAAACGGTGCAAGTGCCAGGCGAGGTGGCTCACGCCTAGAACCCCAGCACTTTGGGAGGCTTACTTGAGACCAGGCGCTTGAGACCAGCCTGGACAACATAGCAAGACCTTGTTTCTACAACAAATTTAAAAATTAGGGCCGGGCATGGTGGCTCAAGCCTGTGAGCACTTTGGGAGGCCAAGGCAGGTGGATCACGAGCTCAAGAGTTCGAGACCAGCCTGGCCAACATGGTGAAACCCCATCTCAACAAAAAATAAAGAAGAAAACTAGCTGGGCATGGTGGCGTGAGCCTGTAATCCCAGCTACTCGGGAGGGTGAGGCAGGAGAACTGTTTGTACCCAGGAGGTAGAGGATGCAGTGAGCCAAGATCGCAACACTGCTCTCCAGCCTGGGAGACAGAGCAAGACTCTGACTCGTGGGGAAAAAAAAAATATTAAAATTTAGCCTGGCAAGGCAGCGCACGTCTGTGGTCCCAGCTATTTGGGAGGCTGAGTGGGGAGGATCGCTTAAGCCCAGGAGGTCGAGATGGCAACGAGCTATGATTGCACCACTGCACTCCAGCCTGGGCAACAGAGTGAGACCCTGACTCTGAAAAACAAACAATGAAAGAAATGTTGCGAATGGAAATGACAAGTGGTGGCAGGAATTGGGCACTCTATGAGACAACAGACACATCCCCGATTGGAGAGTCAGGGACAGGCTCTTAGAAGAAATGGCCTTTATGCTGAGTCAAGTTAACCAGGAGGGATGAAGGGAAGAGGCTCCCAACAGAGGGACCAGTCCGCGCTCAGAGCTCCCAGCATCTGCCCAAGGCCTCCACAGAACAGACTGTTGTGTTTTTGTTTTGTTTTGTTTTGTTGAGATACAGAGTCTCATTCTGTAGCCCAGGCTGGAATGCAGTGGCATTATCTCAGCTCATTGCAATCTCTGCCTCCTGGTTCACCTGAGGCGATTCTCCTGCCTCAGCCTACCTGGTAGCTGGGATTACAGACGTCCACCACCATGCCCAGCTAATTTTTGTATTTTTAGTAGAGACAGGATTCACTACCTGTTGACCAGGCTGGTCTCGAACTCCTGACCTCGGGTGATCCACCCACCTCAGCCTCCCAAACTGCTGGGATTACAGGCGTGACCCACCGCATCCGGCCTAGACCGTTGTTGAAGCTGGTTTTCTTCTTCTTTCCTCAGTTCTTTTCTTTTACATCTTCCCCCCATCATTGCTCTGCCCATCCGAAGGCTGTGGCTGGCACAGGACAGAATAGAACCTCCTAGCCTCAAGTTCCAAACCCACACTCTCCAATAGCCAGGCTCTCAGATGGGAAGCTTCAAAGCCTTGTGACAGCCTGGCTGAACCTCTCCAGCCTGGGCCCTCCCTCCATTTCCTGCCCCGGAAACAGGCATCTCCTCTGGCCACCTCCCAAAGCCTGTCTGGAAGCCTCAGGCACCCGCTCCTGGAAGCCTGTACGATTCACAACAAACGGCCTGTCCACCCAGTCGTGCTGAGCACACCCCTATTCCCCCGAGCTCTGAATTGTCCTTTGCCCAGGCTAGGACAACATCTCAGAGCCTTCTGCCTGCTGCAGACTCGGCTCAGCCCAAATCACTCCATGAAATTGGGGTGTGGCATCTGCCTCAAGGAGCATTTCTACAACCTCTGCTGCCTCTACCGCAAATGAAACTGGCTCTCACCCACTGGCTCTCGGTGACGGGCACAGTGCGGAGCCCCACAGGGAGTGTGTAGAAGTCAAAGGCCCCAGTGACTTCTGTGCAGTCAGCCGCACCTACGACAGCCAAAGCGCCAGGTGTGAGCGCCCCGACAGCCTGAGCCCCATCTGGCCTGCCCTACAGCAGGAAGACCCCTCGTGCATGCACCCCAGAAGTCGCCACTGGGCCTGCAGAGAAGCAGCAATCAGAGGCTCTGCCCTTCACTGGCTGACCCTGGGACCTGCCCTTCAAAATCAGGCCTTCTCCTTGACCAGACGAGGTGGCTCATGCCTGGAATCCCTACACCTTGGGAGGCTAAGGCAGGAGGATCACCTGAGTCCAGGAGTTCAAGACCAGCCTGGGCAACCTAGTAAGACCCCAACTCTATAAAAAGGAGTTTTTTTTTTTTGTGACAGTCTCACTCTGTCACCCAGGATAGAGTGCTGCGGCATGATCTCAATTCACCGCGGCCCCTGCCTCCTGGGTTCAAGCAATTCCCCTGCCTCAGCCTCCCGAGTAGCTGGGATTACAGACGTGCACCATCATGCCCTGCAAATTTTCATATTTTAGTAGAGACGGGGTTTCACCATGTTGGCCAGGCTGGTCTCCAACTCCTGGCCTAAAGTGATCTGCCCGCGTCAGCCTCCCGAAGTGCTGGGATTACAGGTGTGAGCCACCATGCCCGGCCTACAAAAAAAATTTTTTTAATTAGCCAGGCATGGTGGCATGTGCCTGTAGTCCCAGCTACTCAGGAGGCCAAGGTAGGAGGATTGCAGCTCAAAGCTGCAGTGAGCTGTGATCAGGCCATTGCATTACAGCCTGGGTGACAGAGTGAGACCATCACAAAAACAAACAAACAAACAAACAAACAAACAAATAAATAAATAAATAAATAAATAAATAAAAAATCTGGGCCTCCCACCAAGGGTGGGAAACATCAGAAAGCTCAGAGGACCACACCTGCCCGTTCACCTGTCCTGGGCTCCTGCTGAAGCCAGGGCTACCAGATGGGGGCAAAAGACCTCCCTTACGCAAGTCCCAAACCACCATTACCTCCCACGAGTACAGGTAGGCGGGGTGTTCGTGCATCAGGTACGGCCACCAGAGGTTGGCACCCAGCACCTTCAGCTGGCCCTGGGTCCCAGCCTGGTTGTCCACGACTTTGTTTTCTGCATTCAAAAGACACACTTCCAACTTGAACTGGTTACTGCACTTGACGGAGATCTGGTAATTCACCAGCCCTGCAGGAGGCAAGAGAGACCAGGGCTTAGGGAGGGACATGACCTGGGTCACACAAACGGGAAGGCCCCACAATGACCACTCCCAGGCACTCTCATTTGCTTCTGTTGCTTTTTTTTTTTTTTTTTGAGATAGAATCTCGCTCTGTCACCCAGGCTGGAGTGCAGTGGCATGATCTGGACTCACTGAAACCTCTGCCTCCCAGGTTCAAGTGATTCTCCTGCCTCAGCCTCTGGAATAGCTGGGATTACAGGCACCTGCCACCACATCCAGCTAATTTTTGTATTGTTAGTAGAGACGGGGTTTCACCACATTAGCCAGGATGGTCTTGATCTCCTGACCTCGTGATCCGCCTGCCTCGGCCTCCCAAAGTGCTGGGATTACAGGCTTGAGCCACCGTGCCCGGCCCTGAACCAATGCGCCCAGCCCGCTTTTAATTTAATTTTTTAATTTTTTTTTTTTTTTTTTTGAGATGGAGTCTCACTGTCACCCAGGCTGCAGTGTAGTGCTGCGATCCTGACTCGCTGCAACCTCCACCTCTGGAGTTCAGGTGATTCTCCTGCCTCAGCCTTCCGAGTACCTGGGAATACAGGAATGCACCACCATGCCCGGCGAATTTTTCTATTTTCAGTAGAGACGGAGTTTTGCCATGTTGGCCAGGCTGGTCTCGAACTCCTGAACTCAGGTGATCCACCCGCCTCAGTCTCCCAATAGATTAGATATATTATTAATGAATTGCTTCCTTTAACACCCTATTCATTGAATTTTCCAGTAAACCACAATTACTAATTACTCCTGAAATCAGAAAAGAGGTTAAAAAGATTTTATAACAGTATCCTATGAAATCTACTACTTTCAAGTAATAGTAGTTGAATTACCAAAACCCGTCACTCAAGCCAATGACTACAATTAAGATATGAGTAACATTTCCTAGATAAATAAAGTCAATTAATTATATTTGCATCTGGGAAATAGAGAAAGTACATATAAGCCATGATTTTGAAGTTAAAAGAGAGAGAATATTTGCCAAGGAGGGGTGAGTTATAGTATGTAATTATAACATACAGAAGTTTTTTGTATGCTGGTAACTAATTTTAATTTCCTACATTTTTATGTAGATTTCTGCTATTCTTGTCCTATTTTCCTAATCATCTTTCTATATGAATGACTACATAATTCTGAGAATACCAAAAGAGACAGACACAGAACCAATCGGATTCCTTTCTTCTTGAAGCTTCTGCACAGCAAAAGAAACTATCAACAGAGTGAACAGACAACCTACAGAATGGGAGAAAATTTTTGCAACAATGCATGTGACAAAGATCTAATGTCCAACACTGATAAGGAACTTAAACAAATTTACAAGAAAAAAAAAAATCTCATTAGAAAGTGGGCACAGGACATAAACAGACACTTCAAAAGAAGACACACATGCGGCCAACAAGCATATGAGAAAAAGCTCAATATCACTGATCATTAGAGAAATGCAAATCAAAACCACAATGGCATACCATCTCACACCAGTCAGTATGGTTATTATTAAGAAGTCAACGCCGGGCATGGTGGCTCACGCCTATAATCCCAGCACTTCAGGAGGCCAAGGCAGGCAGATCGCATGAGGTCAGGAGTTCCAGACCAGCCTGGACAACCTGGCGAAACCCCGTCTCTACTAAAAATACAAAAATTAGCCCAGCGTGGTGGCGGGTGCCTGTAATCCCAGCTACTCAGGATGCTGAGGCAGGAGAATCGCCTGAACCCGGGAGGCAGAGGTTGTAGTGAGCCGAGATCATACCACTGCACTCTCCAGCTTAGGTGACAGAGCGAGACTCTGTCTCAAAAAAAAAAAAAAATATTTGAATTTTGTTTAAATCGCTAACACATACTGGGCATTTAATAACAAAAAAAAAGGACATGAGATTGTGATCCTTATGAAGGTTTGAGAGGCATTTCACTAGGGTTCAACATACAGCAGTCTGAAACATACTGTAATAATTTAATCCAATGGCTCATCTACAGCACCTAAAAAGATTACAGCAGATTCTCATTATTCAGTGTAGTTACGGTCTAGAAAGTTCCATGAACAAATAAAAAGTTAGGTTTCAGCAAGCTACTGGTCACACTTTTGTAAGCTTACCAACACCTACTTTTGTTGTATGTGTGCTTATTTAATATATATTGTTGGCCAGGCACAGTGGCTAACGCCTGTAATCCCAGCACTTTGCGAAGCCAAGGCGGGCAGATCATTTGAGGTCTGGAGTTCGAGACCAGCCTGGCCAACGTGGTGAAACCCCGTCTCTACTAAAACTACAAAAAAAAAAAAAAAAAAAAAAATTAGCCAGGCATGGTGGCGCATGCCTGTAGTCTTAGCTACTTGGGAGGCTAAGGCAGGGGAATCGCTTGAACCCAGGAGGCAGAGGTTGCAGTGAGCCAAGACTGCACCACTGCACTCCAGCCTGAGCAACAGAGTGAGACTCTATCTCAAAAAAAATAATAATAATAATTAATTAAATGAAGAATAAATAAATAATATACATTGTTCATTCATTAACATTGAACTCACAGCCAACGGCACTACAGCACTCACGCCTGAATGGAGTTTATTTAATGCATGTATTTTCTCTGTAAGACACATCACAGACTTCTTGGACTTGTGAATGCTAAGCAGCACTTCAGCACTATGCTTGGGGGTTAATTTAAATGGCAAAACAACCAACAAACAGCACAAAAACAGGAAAAGCATGGCATTAAATAGACCACAAAAAGGATACCTGACTATTGTATGAGAGCTGAAAAAGAAGGCAGAATATCATCCTGTTCAAACTCAAATTCTTTGACACTCTGCGCAAACACATGACTATGAAAGTGCTGTGAGTACTGATTTGGGGGTTACAAAAAATAGTAGGTGAGTTCACAAATACAAAAGCTGAAAACAAGGAGGATCGACTGTATTTTCGTAGACAATCTAATCTCAGAAGATTTCAGTTCAGACAAAAATCATGATAATTACTGTATTACAAAAGGGCACTAGATAGGGGGAAAAGAGTAAAAATCACAATTAAAACAAAGGTTCAAAATTCTGCAGCAACCATATCCAGTTACACTTTAATATGTTTGTGGCAGACTACATTATTGTTCCCAACTCATCACCCCTCCCTATATCTAAAACCTTTCCCCAAGACAATGCAGTTCCTCCTGCTAGAGATCAGGTATATTTATCTATACTATCAATGTTAGCCATGGACAAGGTATGTGCTTTGGCTGACTGAATGTTAGTGGACATGAGAGAAGCAATGGCTTAAAATGTACTTCCAGAACTGGAGTTTCCTTGTGATTCTATCACTGTGACAAAAACACATTCTCAGGTAGTCCACTGATCCAAGGGGGAACAAACACACAGAAAACATACCTAGACTCTATCTGCAGCTTGCAGCCTCACCAAGCCAAGAACAGTCAACTCACAGATATGTTAGCAAAAATAAATGTTTTTCATACCTTAAGTTTTATATAATTATTGACCTACAGTTAACTGATATACAATATACATTAATCTTAAAATATCATTATCCCATTAAAAATACTTACATTAAAAACTGAGACCACTTTCTTTCCTTTTTTTTTTTTTTTTTTTAAATTAAGAGACAGGGTGTCTCAATGTTGCCCAAGCTGGAGTTCAGTGGCTAGTGGCTATTCACAAGAACGATCATCGCACACTACCTCAAACTCCTGGGATCAAGCAATCCTCCTGCCTCAGCTTTCCAAGTCGCTGGGACTATAAGTGTGTACCACAGCATGTCAGCTCTCTCTCTCCTTCTTGACCTAAAGCCTAGCATAAAATTAGCTAAGTAGAATGTTTCCAAAGATGGCTGCATCAGTATCTCCCATCCCACATAATTTCTGTTTGATTTTGCCATTCACCCATAAAATGGTGGGATCTACCTCCCCTCCTTGCAAATTTGAGCTGGCCCTCTGATCCTGTCTAAGATCTGAAGCCAGATATTAAGGTACTTCATTAATTTCCATGTTTGTCCTCTATGCAACCTAGCAATCAAGCAAGAAGTCAAAACATACTGACATAGTTTGGATGGGTCCCCACCCAAATCTCACCTTGCATTGTAATAATTCCCACGTGTCAAGGGTGGGGCCGGGTGCAGATAACTGAATCATGGGGATGGTTCCCCCCATACTGTTCTCGCGGTAGTGACTAAGTCTCATGAGATCTGATGGTTTTATAAATGGGAGCTCCCCTGCACATGCTCTCTCCTGCCTGCCACTATGTGAGACATGCTTTTGCACCTCCTTGCCTTCCACCATGATTGTGAGGCCTCCCCAGCCATGCAGAACTGTGAGTCAATTCAACCTCTTTCCTTTATAAATTACCCAGTCTCAGGTATGTCTTTATTTGCGGTGTGAGAACAGACTAATACAATAAGTTGATACCAGTAGAGTGGGGTGCTGCTGTAAAGATACCCGAAAATGTGGAAGCAACTTTGGAAATGGGTAACAGGGAGAGGCTGGAACAGTTTGGAAGGCTCAGAAGAGGATAGGAAAATGTGGGAAAGTTTGGAACTTCCTAGAGACTTGTTGAATGGCTTTGACCAAAATGTTAATAGTGATATGGACAACAAGGTCCAGGCGGAGGTGGTCTCAGAGGGAGATGAGGAATTTGTTGGGAAATGGAGTAAAGTCACTCTTACTATGCAAAGACACTGCAGGCATTGTGCACCTGTATTAGAAACGGGCATAAGATAGGCGGGAAAGAGGGAAAATAAGAATTTCTTTCTAGAGTTCCCTACAGATCTGTGGAACTTTGAACTTGAGAGAGATGATTTAAGGTATCTGACAGAAGAAATTTCTAAGCAGCAAAGCATTCGAGAAGAAGCAGAGCATAAAAGTTCAGAAAATTTGTAGCCTGATGATGCAACAGAAAAGAAAAATCTATTTTCTCAGGAGACTGGGTTGTAGAAATTTGCATAAGTAATGAGGAGCCAAATGTTAATCACCAAGACAATGGGGCAAATGTCTCCAGGGCATGTTAGAGACCCTCACAGCAGACCCTCCCATCACAGGCCAGGAGGCTTAGAAGGAAAAATGGTTTTGTGGGTCCAGAACCCCCTGCTGTGTGCAGCCTAGGAACTTGGGGCCCTGCATCCCAGCTGCTCCTGCCATAGGTAAAAGGGGCCAAGGTACACCTCAGGCCATGGCTTCAGAGGGTGCAAGTTCCAAGCCTTTCAGGTTCTAGGTGGTGTTAAGCCTGCAGATGCACCAAAGTCAAGAATTAACGTTCATGAACCTCCGCCTACATTTCAGAAGATGTATGAAAATGCCTGGAAATCCAGGCAAAAGTTTGCTGTGGGGGGGAGGGGAGGGGGGGGCCCTCATGGATAACCTCTGCTAGGGCAGTGTCAAAGGGAAATATGGGGTTGGAGCTCCCACACAGAGTCCCCACTGGGGTACTGCCAAGCAGAGCTGTGAGAAAAGGGCCACCATCCTCCAGACCCCAGAATGGTAGATCCACTGACAGCTTGCACTGTGTGCCTGGAAAAGCTGCAGACACTCAATGCAGCCAGAAGGGGGGCTGTACCCTGCAAAGCCACAGGGGCGGGGCTGCCCAAGACCCTGGGAACCCACTTCTTGCATCACCTAGATGTGACACATGGAGTCAAAGGAGGTCATTTTGGAGCTTTAAGATTTGCCTGCTGGGTTTTGGACTTGCATGGGGCCTGTAGCTCTTTTGCTTTGGCCAATTTCTCCCATTTGAAACGAGTGTATTTACCCAATGCCTGTATCCCTGTGTATCTAGAAAATAACTAACTTGCTTTTGATTTTACAGGCTCATAGGTGGAAGGGACTTGCCTTGTCTCAGATGAGACTTTGGACTATGGAATTTTGAGTTAATGCTGAAATAAGAGTTTGGGGGACTTAGGGGAAGGCACGATTGCTTTTGAAATATGAGGACATGAGATTTGGGAGGGGCCGGGGAAGAATTATATGGTTTGGCTCTGTCCGCACCCAAATCTCATCTTGAATTGTAACAATTCCCATGTGTCAAGGGTGGGGCCAGGTGGAGATAACTGAATCATGGAGGCAGTTTCCCCCATGCTGTTCTCATGGTAGTGAATAAGTCTCATGAGGTCTGATGGTTTTATAAATGGATGTTCCCCTGCACATGCTCTCTCCTGCCCACCATGTCTGACTAAATTTTGTATTTTTACTAGAGACGGGCTTTCACTATGTTGGCCAGGCTGGCCTCCAACTCCTGATCTCGTGATCCGTCCACCCCGACCTCCCAAAGTGCTAGGATCATAGGCATAAGCCACCACACCCGGCCTCTTTTTTTTCTTTTTCTTTTTTTTATCTGGAGACTGAGTTTTGCACTCGTTGCCCAGGCTGGAGTGCAATGGTGCGATCTCAGCTCACTGCAGTCTCCACCTCAGCAGGAGAGCAGGAATCTTCAGTGATCCACGGGCAAATATGCAGCCATTGTGGGCACCTGTTCCTCCCGCGACCTTTGTGCCCACGTCTCTCCCTCCAGTACCTACTGCACGACCCCCCACGTCCGCCTCCTGCCATTGCCAGCAGGTGCCTTGCGCGGGTACCTGGCTGTGCTTATTCATCCATTATGGTCGCTCTGTCACTGGTGCCATTATGTGCTCACATGCCCACTCCCTCAGGTTTAGAAGTCGCGTTGCCCGGCAACAGAACAATCTGCTGGCTTAGCCTTTGGCCAAGTTGGCAGCTGGATGAGGACGCTCAGAGCCCAGCTCTTGAGAGTTCAAGTATCCGACAGTTCCCCACTGCTCCCAGGAGCGGTTACCCGGGCACTCTGTGCCCCTCATTCCTGTTTGGGCCAAGGCCGAGGACCTGCGAGTAGGGCTCAGTTGCCTGGAGCCCCTTCAGCCCATCCCCCAGTTCACTTTGCTTGTGGGATCTCCCCGTTGCTCCTGCCCCTGGACTGAGTGGCAGGCCATCCTACAAACACCCGCACACTCGACATCAGTGGTGTCAAGACAACTCTAAGAAGGTTTTCCGTGATCCTGCAAGACCTGTGTTCCATCCTGGTGATTCTATCTTCAATTTCACTGCACAGGTACCACAGTAAGCCAGTGCTGTGTGCTCCGAGTTCCAGGGCATCCCCCAGCTCAGCCACTACACTGAGCACAAGGACTCTGTGGGGCCCAGGAGCAGGTAGTCACCCCTTTGGGGTCCACAACACCCGGCTGTCCCCAGACTTGTGTCCAGGGAAGATAGTGTTGAGGGCCCTCAAGGAGAGCGGGGCAGGGATGCCTGAGCAGCACAAGGACCCCAGAGTCCAAGAAAATCCTGATGATCAGAGAACGGTCCCCGAGGTCACCGGGGATGCACGGTCTGCATTTTGGCCCCTGCGGGACAATGGAGGCCCCTCTCCCTTTGTGCCCAGGCCCGGGCCTCTGCAGACAGACCTCCACGCCCAGAGCTCAGAAATCAGATATAACCACACATCCCAGACATCCTGGACGAGCTCGAGCACCAAACGAAATGCCATCTCCAGCTCCTACAGCTCCACGGGAGGCTTGCCGGGGCTAAAGCAGAGGAGGGGGCCAGCCTCATCCCGCTGCCAGCTGACCCTCAGTTACTCAAAGACAGTGAGTGAGGACAGGCCTCAGGCTGTCTCTTTGGGTCACACACGGTGTGAAAAGGGGGCAGATACAGCACCAGGGCAGACAATCGCCCCAACGGGTGGCTCCCCCAGATCCCAGGACTCTAGGCCCCGTAGACGCAAGATTCCCCTGCTGCCACGCAGGCGAGGGGAGCCTTTGATGCTGCCACCTCCCTTAGAGCTGGGGTACCGGGTCACGGCTGAAGACCTGCACCTGGAAAAAGAGACGGCATTCCAGCGCATCAACAGTGCACTGCACGTTGAGGACAAGGCCATCCCGGACTGCAGACCCTCACGGCCTTCCCACACTTTGTCCTCACTTGCAACAGGGGCTTCGGGTGGGCCTCCCGTTTCTAAAGCACCCACTATGGATGCACAGCAGGACAGACCCAAGTCCCAAGACTGCCTGGGCCTAGTGGCCCCCCTAGCATCTGCTGCAGAGGTCCCCGCTACAGCTCCCGTGTCTGGGAAGAAGCACAGACCACCAGGACCCCTGTTCTCCTCCTCAGATCCCCTTCCTGCCAACTCTTCCCACTCCCGGGACTCAGCCCAGGTCACCTCGATGATTCCTGCCCCCTTCACAGCTGCAAGCAGGGATGCCGGCATGAGAAGAACAAGGTCGGCTCCTGCAGCTGCCGCAGCAGCCCCTCCCCCCTCCACATTGAACCCCACGTCGGGGTCACTACTCAATGCAGTGGATGGAGGCCCCTCACATTTCTTGGCCTCAGCCACAGCTGCAGCACGTGCCCAGAGGTCAGAAGTGAGATATAACCAGAGATCCCAGACCTCCCGGACCAGATCCTGCCTCAAACGAAATGCCAGCTCCAGCTCCCACAGCTCTACGGAAGGCCTCCAGGAAGTAAAGCGGAGGAGGGGGCCAGCCTCATCCCACTGCCAGCTGGCCCTCAGTTCCTCAAACACAGTGAGTGAGGACGGACCTCAGGCTGTCTCTTCGGGTCACCGCTGTGAAAACAAGGCAGGTACAGCACCAGGGCAGACACTTGCCCCCAGGGGTGGCTCCCCCAGATCCCAGGCCTCTAGGCCCCACATCAACACTGCACTGCACGTTGAGGACAAGGCCATCTCGGACTGCAGACCCTCACGGCCTTCCCACACTTTGTCCTCACTTGCAACAGGGGCTTCGGGTGGGCCTCCCGTTTCTAAAGCACCCACTATGGATGCACAGCAGGACAGACCCAAGTCCCAAGACTCCCTGGGCCTACTGGCCCCCCTAGCATCTGCTGCAGAGGTCCCCTCTACAGCTCCCGTGTCTGGGAAGAAGCACAGACCACCAGGACCCCTGTTCTCCTCCTCAGATCCCCTTCCTGCCACCTCTTACCACTCCCGGGACACAGCACAGGTCACCTCGCTGATTCCTGCCACCTTCACAGCTGCAAGCAGGGATGCCGGCATGAGAAGAACAAGGTCGGCTCCTGCAGCTGCCACAGCAGCCCCTCCCCCCTCCACATTGAACAACACGTCGGGGTCACTACTCAATGCAGTGGATGGAGGCCCCTCACATTTCTTGGCCTCAGCCACAGCTGCAGCACGTGCCCAGAGGTCAGAAGTGAGATATAACCAGAGATCCCAGACCTCCCGGACCAGATCCTGCCTCAAACGAAATGCCAGCTCCAGCTCCAGCTCCCACAGCTCTACGGAAGGCCTCCAGGAACTAAAGCGGAGGAGGGGGCCAGCCTCATCCCACTGCCAGCTGGCCCACAGTTCCTCAAACACAGTGAGTGAGGACGGACCTCAGGCTGTCTCTTCGGGTCACCGCTGTGAAAACAAGGCAGGTACAGCACCAGGGCAGACACTCGCCCCCAGGGGAGGCTCCCCCAGATCCCAGGCCTCTAGGCCCCACATCAACAGTGCACTGTACGTTGAGGACAAGGCCATCTCGGACTGCAGACCCTCACGGCCTTCCCACACTTTGTCCTCACTTGCAACAGGGGCTTCGGGTGGGCCTCCCGTTTCTAAAGCACCCACTATGGACGCACAGCAGGACAGACCCAAGTCCCAAGACTGCCTGGGCCTAGTGGCCCCCCTAGCATCTGCTGCAGAGGTCCCCTCTACAGCTCCCGTGTCTGGGAAGAAGCACAGACCACCAGGACCCCTGTTCTCCTCCTCAGATCCCCTTCCTGCCAACTCTTCCCACTCCCGGGACTCAGCCCAGGTCACCTCGCTGATTCCTGCCACCTTCACAGCTGCAAGCAGGGATGCCGGCATGAGAAGAACAAGGCCTGGCACCTCGGCTCCTGCAGCTGCCGCAGCAGCCCTTCCCCCCTCCACATTGAACCCCACGTCGGGGTCGCTACTCAATGCAGTGGATGGAGGCCCCTCACATTTCTTGGCCTCAGCCACAGCTGCAGCACGTGCCCAGAGGTCAGAAGTGAGATATAACCAGAGATCCCAGACCTCCCGGACCAGATCCTGCCTCAAACGAAATGCCAGCTCCAGCTCCCACAGCTCTACGGAAGGCCTCCAGGAACTAAAGCGGAGGAGGGGGCCAGCCTCATCCCACTGCCAGCTGGCCCACAGTTCCTCAAACACAGTGAGTGAGGACGGACCTCAGGCTGTCTCTTCGGGTCACCGCTGTGAAAACAAGGCAGGTACAGCACCAGGGCAGACACTCGCCCCCAGGGGTGGCTCCCCCAGATCCCAGGCCTCTAGGCCCCGCATCAACAGTGCACTGCACGTTGAGGACAAGGCCATCTCGGACTGCAGACCCTCACGGCCTTCCCACACTTTGTCCTCACTTGCAACAGGGGCTTCGGGTGGGCCTCCCGTTTCTAAAGCACCCACTATGGATGCACAGCAGGACAGACCCAAGTCCCAAGACTGCCTGGGCCTACTGGCCCCCCTAGCATCTGCTGCAGAGGTCTCCTCTACAGCTCCCGTGTCTGGGAAGAAGCACAGACCACCAGGACCCCTGTTCTCCTCCTCAGATCCCCTTCCTGCCACCTCTTCCCACTCCGGGGACTCAGCCCAGGACACCTCGCTGATTCCTGCCCCCTTCACACCTGCAAGCAGGGATGCCGGCATCAGAAGAATGTTTCGTGTTCGAAATTGTTTGAGGGGTTTGGGTTTATTTTTGTTGGTTTTTTCTTTTTTTTTTTTGCTTACGTGGGCATCCTTCAGCTTTTAATAATCTGAAAAATTCTATTTACCCATTGTCAATGTGTATAAATTAATCTCAGTCAATTTTATACAATAAAAGGTGAACTTTTATCCATCAAACAATAATTTAACAAAAAATGTACCGGAAGAAGAATGTTCATTACAAATATAGGAAACATAAATATTACCAAATATTGGCAAGCACTAAAATGTTCAGAAATATAAGTCTATTACAGTTATAGCTCTCTCAAGCAAAAAAACAGCAGAGAAAAACTTAGTTTTCCTGAGGGGCTATTTATTTACTTAGGGATTTGTTAAAAGGTCAAATGGGGTCACACAGAATACTAAGAAGAGCTGTTCACCCAGGCCTCACTAAGAACTCTTCTTCATGCAGTAGCTATATAGTAATATGACAACTGCTCCTACGACCCAAAGAGGAACTACAGCAACTACTCTTTAGCATCTGTTGCTCCCAACTCTGCTTTGCAATTATATGACTCAAGCATTCTGGCTCCGTTAACTATTACTGCTGTTACTCCCAAGTAAATTCCCTCTAAAAAATAAAAATTTTTAAAGCTGTAATTTAAGCTCTCTGCTGCCTCATGACTTCAATTCCATCAGAGTTACGCATTGTTTCCTCTGTACATCTTTGCTCTGCTTCCATTGCTAATTCCCTAGTAAAGTGTTGTATATTCAAAGTTCCAAAGAAACAGAATATCCAAGACATCACCAATCATCCAAAACACAGTGTAGGAGGCCACAGTTAAGAGAAGCAACACCATTAGCTCTTTTTATAGGCTCGAGAACAACAGGATGCTTTGGTCCTGTATCAGCAGGACGCTTTTTGGGTAGATCCTACTGCCACCCTACTATCGGGTAGATCCTACTGTCACCCTAGCTATGGGCACATGTCAGAGTCCCATGTAATAAAGGAGACAAAAGGAAACCACCACGAGTATAAACTAAGAAAAGTACTCCAAGGTTTCTAAGAATGGAGCTGTATAACTCACTTTGCCCCATTTGTTACTTCTCCACGGTACTTACCACCACCTATTACATATATTTTGTTTATAGTCAGTCTTCCCCCATTAGAATGAAAGTTCCGTGAGGATAGGACTATACAGTCAGCCCTCAGTATCCATGGGGGACTGGTTTCAGGATCTCCTGAGGGTAACAAAGGATACTCAAGTCCCTGATATAAAATGACATAGTATTTGCACATCACCTTTGCACATCCTCCCATATACTTCATATCAACTCTAGATCACTCATAATATCCGATGTAAATGTCATGCAAATAGTTATTGTACTATATTGTGTAAGGAATAAGGACAAGAAAAAAGTCTGTACATGTTCAGTACAGACGCAATTTTTTTTTCCAATATTTCCAATCCTTGGTTGCCTTAACGGATGTAGAACCCAGGAATAAGTTCTGGTGTCCTATTGCATAGTAGGATGAGTATAGTTAACAATAACATATTATATATTTGAAAATAGCCAGAAGAGTAGATTTTGAATTTTCTCCCTACAGAAAAATCATTATGCAAATTACCCTGATTTGATCATTACACATTGAGTACATGTATTAAAACATCACATTCTACCCCATATATATGTACAGTTATTATGTGTCCATAAAAATTTAATGTCAATGTGTGAAATAAAATGAAAAAATAAAAATTTTTAAAGCTGTAATTATCTCCATCTGGTAGGAATATATACAATCTGAAATAAAAAATATATTTGTAATTGTTAGGACAAAATAGATTATACGTTAAGTCTGCAAATTATAAATTATAAAATTCTCACAGAACCTGAAAAATTATTGATACTGTTAAATATTTAAAAAGCTGTCCTTGGAGAGAAAGAAACCTATCAGATTTACATCAACAAGTGTAATATGTCAGCCTATTACCATCTGCTACAGACTGCATGTTTGTGTTCCCTCAAAATTCATATGATAGGCCGGGCGCGGTGGCTCATGCCTGTAATCCCAGCACTTTGGGAGGCCGAGGCGGGTGGATCATGAGGTCAGGAGATCGAGATCATCCTGGCTAACATGGTAAAACCCCGTCTCTACTGAAAATACAAAAAATTAGCCGGGCGCAGTGGCGGGCGCCTTAGTCCCAGCTACTGAGGAGGCTGACGCAGGAGAACGGCGTGAACCCAGGAGGCGGAGCTTGTAGAGAGCCGAGATTGTGCCACTGCACTCCAGCCTGGGTGACAGACAGAGCGAGACTCTGTCTCAAAAAAAAAAAAAAAAAAAATTCATATGATAAAGCCCTAACCCCCAAGGTGAGGATACTGGGAGGCGTGGCCTTTAGGAGAGAATTAGGTTTAGATGAGGTCATGAGAATAGAGCCCCTATGGTGGCATTACTTCCTTTATAAGAAGAGACACTAGAGCTGCTTTTCTCCCTACCATGTGAGGATACCGAGAGAAGATGGCCATTTCCAATCTAGGAAGCAGGCCCTCTTTAAGAAACACAATTTGCCAACACTTTGATCTTGCACTTCCAGTCTCCAGAACTGTGAGAAATATCTGTTTTTTTGTTTGTTTGTTTTTGTTTTTTTTGAGACAGAGTCTCATTCTGTCATCCAGGCTGGAGTACAGTGGTGCGATCATGGCTCACTGCAACCTCCGCCTCCCAGGTTCAAGCAATTCTCCCACCTCAGCCTCCCAAGTAGCTCAGACTACAGGCGTGCACCACCACGCCCAGCTAATTTTCGTAGAGACAAGGTTTTGCCATGCTGCCCAGGCTAGTCTCAAACTCCTGAGCTCAAGTTATCCACCTGCCTCGGCCTCCCAAAGTGTTAGGAATACAGGCATAAGCCACCACGCCTGGTCAAAATATCTACTGTTTAAGCTACCTAATTTATGGTATTCTGTTTTAGCAGCTGAAGCAGACTAAGATACCATCCTATAAGCTACAGACCAGCACTATCCAATAGAACTTTATATGACGAGGAAATGTTTTATATCTGTGCTATCCCTTATGTTAGCCACTAGCCACATGTATCCATCAAGTATTTGAAATATGGCTAGTGCAACTAAAGAACTTAATTTTTAATTTTCTTTTTTTTTTTGAGATGGAGTCTCGCTCTGTCCCCCAGGCTGGAGTGCAGTGGCGCCATCTCGGCTCACTGCAAACTCTGCCTCCCAGGTTCACGCCATTCTCCTGCCTCAGCCTCCTGAGTAGCTGGGACTGCAGGCGCCCGCCACCACGCCCGGCTAATTTTTTGTATTTTTAATAGAGATGGGGGTTCACCGTCTTAGTAAGGATGGTCTCGATCTCCTGACCTAATGATCTGCCCGCCTCGGCCTCCCAAAGTGCTGGGATTACTGGCGTGACCCACCACGCCCGGCCAATTTTTATTTTATCTTATTTAAATAACCACATGTGGCTAGTGGCTAATGTATTGAACACTACAGCTGTAGACAATACGAAATAAATATAAAGCAGTCTCAACTTTGGAAAAACAGAAGACTCTTACTGCCTCATAATATAGATGAAAAATGAAATACTAAGATAAGTAAAACGTTCTTTAAAGAACAAAAACAAAAGAAAACCTAATGAAAGCTATAAAAGTCCATTGGATAATAATGCTACCAGTACTAAGGAAGTACAGCCCCTAAGAGTGACTTGCAGTCACAAATATAAAAATGACTATTCAAGTGAACTCCTAAGGTGAAAATTTCTTATTCACCATGCTCCAAAATGGTCTGTAATATTCTTCAGAGATGGCATGGTGGGGGAGGCAAGTGGCATCTCTGCCCAGAGAGAATACACAAGCAGAAAGTTCAACACCGCTTACCTGGTGAAACCCTACAAGCGTTTCCACTCCATACGCGCTCTGAATAATGGGATTGTGATGTCTTACACCAATTCTCAAACTGGGCGGCCAGCTGCAGCTGAATCAACTCCAGGTGCCCGTAGTTGCGATACCAAGAGTAGTAGCTGTTCACACGGATCACATCCACATACAGAGCCTAGGACCAGAGCAGCAGAGCCCGTTCAGCAACCACAAGACCGCATGACTCAGTACTCACATGCTGTGGGGGCTCCTCTGACAGAGAAGGTAAGAAGGGGATGTAATCCCAGCACTCTGGGAGGCTGAGGCAGGAGGGTGGCTTGTGGCCAGGAGTTCGAGACCAGCCTGGGCAACACAGCAAGACCCCAGCTCTACAAAAAATAGTATCAAGAAAATCAGCACGGCACAGTGGCTCATGCCTGTAATCCCAGCACATTGGGAGGCCAAGGTGGGAGGATCACTTGAGCCCAGGAGTTTGAGACCAGCCTGGGCAACATCGTAGGACTCCATTTCTACAAAACAAAACAAAAAGCCTACAACGGGAAGAGCTGCCTCTCGGGGCTGAGAACATCCAACTGCACCAATTTAGATCCTGAAATTACCCTGCCCCACAAGCAAAAAACATGGTCACAAAGTGGCCCAAAGGAGGCAGGCCTGTGATTGCACACTGACGCTCACGACGTGTGCAGCTGGGAAGGGCTGTGAGAGGCAGAGCAGCTGCCAACACGCAGTCCTCAGCCAAAACCCAGGGCCCCCGCCACTGGAACTGACTCCTCTCCAGGCAGCACTCCCAGCACTGGGCATCCCCTCACCTTGCCCTGGAGAAGCCCTCCCACCCAAGGGGCCAATGCAGTCATTCTCGCAGATAATCTTTTTCCGCTTTGTTTGGAAGACAGAGTCTCGCTCTGTTGCCCAGGCTAGAATGGAGTGGCACAATAATGCAACCTCTGCCTCCCACGATCAAGCGCAGGCGTGGTGGCATGTGCCTGTTATCCCAGCTACTTGGGAGGCTGAGGCAGGAGAATTGCTTGAACCTGGGAGGCGGAGGTTGCACTGAGCTGAGACTGTGCCACTGCACTCCAGCCTGGGCAACAGAGCAAGACTCTATCTTAAAAAAATAATAAAAAATAAAAAAGAATGCTAGTATCAGCCAGGCACGGTGGCTCATGCCTGTAATCCCAGCACTTTAGGAGGCTAAGGCAGGAGGATCACTTGAGCTCAAGAGTTTGAGACTGGCCTGGGCAACATAGTGAGATCCCATCTCTACAAAAACATTTAAAATTAGCCGGGCACAGTGGTGTACACCCGGAGTCCCAGCTACTTGGAAGGCTGAGGCAAGAGGGTTGCTTAGGCCCAGGAATTCAAGGCTGCAGTGAGCTGTGATCACACCACTGCACTCCAGCCAGAGCAACAGAGTAAGACCTTGCCTTCACACACACACACAAAAAAACAAAAAACTCAGGTTCCAACCCTGGAGTTACTAAATCAGGATCTCAGAACGCAGAGATCTGGCATTTCAATAAAACTTCCCCTGGAGATTCTGATCAGCCAGGTTTGGGCCAGATGAACTCTAAGCTCACTTAAACCTTTGACATTTTATGAGTCTATTAAATCGAGTACAAAAAATGCTGAGTCCAAACCGGGCAAACAAATCCCATCTCCCTATGCCCAGCCTCCTTGGATTCAGAAAGCCACACTGCCTGGAGAGTAAGCAGAGAGAGAATTGTCATTAACCCAAAGACCATCTTTGAAAACAGACTGGCTGCGGCTGAGTGCGGTGGCACACGCCTGTAACCCCAGCCCTTTGGAAGGCCGAGGCAGGAGGATCACTTGAGCCCAGGAGTTCGAGACCAGCCTGGGCAACATGGCAAGACCCTGTCTCTATCTTTCTAAGTAAAACAAAATAAAAAGCTCAGACTGGCAGCACATGGTTCTTTCCAGCTGTTCCCATGAGCAGGCTTCAGGACAAGCCCAGGCAAAGGCAGGGAGAAATGGGGTGGGGACCCCCAGGCTCACCCCCTTGTCTGCTGCGTAGGTGGAGTTGGTCACAAAGGTCACAGGCTGGGAGGGGTCCAAGGCTTTGGTGTGAGCAATCACCATCCTGTCCACAAAAGAGAGAAGACACAGGTTCCGTCAGTCCGGGAAAGGCTCAGACACCCTCCCATCCTCTCTGTCCCATCTTCCCCTGCCAGAACACAACTGGGGGCCAGGCACGATGGCTCACGCCTGTAATCCCAGCACTTCAGGAGGCTGAGACAGGCAGATCACTGAGGTCAGGGGTTCAAGAACCGCCTGGCCAACATGGCAAAACCCCATTTCTACTAAATATACAAAAATTAGCCAGGCATAGTGGCACGCATCTGTAACTCCAGCTACTCGGGAGGCTGAGGCACAAGAATTGCTTGAACCCGGGAGGTGGAGGTTGCAGTGAGCCGAAATCACGCTACTGCACTCCAGCCTGGGCCACAGAGCAAGACCCTGCCCCAAAACAAACAAACAAACAAACAAACAAAAAAAAAAAAAGAAAGAAAAAAAAGGAAAAAAAAAAAAAAAAACAAAGCACAGAGCCGCTGCTTTCTTCCCTAACTTGAGATGTATTTTACATAAGGGCACGTTCCTCTAGTCCTAGACCGAGCTCTCTAACAACACTCTTTCTCCCCCACCCCTGAATCCAACTCCCCCAGAGGCGTAGCCACCCTGCCGGGTACACAGAGCTGAGGTCACTGGACTGAACACTGCCAGAAATGAGGTTCACTTCCTGAAATAGCTCTTGAACACAGGAGTGAATGGGCTGTGGATTCAGGTGGAATATTTATTAATGCATCAAGCAAACAGGTAGTGCGAGGTGGGAGGTAGGCATGAGGCTGGGTGCTAGGTGCTCAGTAATGACTCAAATCTAAGTCCACAGGTCCTGGGCAGTGGGAGTGGAGATGCATGCACAGAAAAACGGTGCAAGTGCCAGGCGAGGTGGCTCACGCCTAGAACCCCAGCACTTTGGGAGGCTTACTTGAGACCAGGCGCTTGAGACCAGCCTGGACAACATAGCAAGACCTTGTTTCTACAACAAATTTAAAAATTAGGGCCGGGCATGGTGGCTCAAGCCTGTGAGCACTTTGGGAGGCCAAGGCAGGTGGATCACGAGCTCAAGAGTTCGAGACCAGCCTGGCCAACATGGTGAAACCCCATCTCAACAAAAAATAAAGAAGAAAACTAGCTGGGCATGGTGGCGTGAGCCTGTAATCCCAGCTACTCGGGAGGGTGAGGCAGGAGAACTGTTTGTACCCAGGAGGTAGAGGATGCAGTGAGCCAAGATCGCAACACTGCTCTCCAGCCTGGGAGACAGAGCAAGACTCTGACTCGTGGGGAAAAAAAAAATATTAAAATTTAGCCTGGCAAGGCAGCGCACGTCTGTGGTCCCAGCTATTTGGGAGGCTGAGTGGGGAGGATCGCTTAAGCCCAGGAGGTCGAGATGGCAACGAGCTATGATTGCACCACTGCACTCCAGCCTGGGCAACAGAGTGAGACCCTGACTCTGAAAAACAAACAATGAAAGAAATGTTGCGAATGGAAATGACAAGTGGTGGCAGGAATTGGGCACTCTATGAGACAACAGACACATCCCCGATTGGAGAGTCAGGGACAGGCTCTTAGAAGAAATGGCCTTTATGCTGAGTCAAGTTAACCAGGAGGGATGAAGGGAAGAGGCTCCCAACAGAGGGACCAGTCCGTGCTCAGAGCTCCCAGCATCTGCCCAAGGCCTCCACAGAACAGACTGTTGTGTTTTTGTTTTGTTTTGTTTTGTTGAGATACAGAGTCTCATTCTGTAGCCCAGGCTGGAATGCAGTGGCATTATCTCAGCTCATTGCAATCTCTGCCTCCTGGTTCACCTGAGGCGATTCTCCTGCCTCAGCCTACCTGGTAGCTGGGATTACAGACGTCCACCACCATGCCCAGCTAATTTTTGTATTTTTAGTAGAGACAGGATTCACTACCTGTTGACCAGGCTGGTCTCGAACTCCTGACCTCGGGTGATCCACCCACCTCAGCCTCCCAAACTGCTGGGATTACAGGCGTGACCCACCGCATCCGGCCTAGACCGTTGTTGAAGCTGGTTTTCTTCTTCTTTCCTCAGTTCTTTTCTTTTACATCTTCCCCCCATCATTGCTCTGCCCATCCGAAGGCTGTGGCTGGCACAGGACAGAATAGAACCTCCTAGCCTCAAGTTCCAAACCCACACTCTCCAATAGCCAGGCTCTCAGATGGGAAGCTTCAAAGCCTTGTGACAGCCTGGCTGAACCTCTCCAGCCTGGGCCCTCCCTCCATTTCCTGCCCCGGAAACAGGCATCTCCTCTGGCCACCTCCCAAAGCCTGTCTGGAAGCCTCAGGCACCCACTCCTGGAAGCCTGTACGATTCACAACAAACGGCCTGTCCACCCAGTCGTGCTGAGCACACCCCTATTCCCCCGAGCTCTGAATTGTCCTTTGCCCAGGCTAGGACAACATCTCAGAGCCTTCTGCCTGCTGCAGACTCGGCTCAGCCCAAATCACTCCATGAAATTGGGGTGTGGCATCTGCCTCAAGGAGCATTTCTACAACCTCTGCTGCCTCTACCGCAAATGAAACTGGCTCTCACCCACTGGCTCTCGGTGACGGGCACAGTGCGGAGCCCCACAGGGAGTGTGTAGAAGTCAAAGGCCCCAGTGACTTCTGTGCAGTCAGCCGCACCTACGACAGCCAAAGCGCCAGGTGTGAGCGCCCCGACAGCCTGAGCCCCATCTGGCCTGCCCTACAGCAGGAAGACCCCTCGTGCATGCACTCCAGAAGTCGCCACTGGGCCTGCAGAGAAGCAGCAATCAGAGGCTCTGCCCTTCACTGGCTGACCCTGGGACCTGCCCTTCAAAATCAGGCCTTCTCCTTGACCAGACGAGGTGGCTCATGCCTGGAATCCCTACACCTTGGGAGGCTAAGGCAGGAGGATCACCTGAGTCCAGGAGTTCAAGACCAGCCTGGGCAACCTAGTAAGACCCCAACTCTATAAAAAGGAGTTTTTTTTTTTGAGACAGTCTCACTCTGTCACCCAGGATAGAGTGCTGCGGCATGATCTCAATTCACCGTGGCCCCTGCCTCCTGGGTTCAAGCAATTCCCCTGCCTCAGCCTCCCGAGTAGCTGGGATTACAGACGTGCACCATCATGCCCTGCAAATTTTCATATTTTAGTAGAGACGGGGTTTCACCATGTTGGCCAGGCTGGTCTCCAACTCCTGGCCTAAAGTGATCTGCCCGCGTCAGCCTCCCGAAGTGCTGGGATTACAGGTGTGAGCCACCATGCCCGGCCTACAAAAAAAATTTTTTTAATTAGCCAGGCATGGTGGCATGTGCCTGTAGTCCCAGCTACTCAGGAGGCCAAGGTAGGAGAATTGCAGCTCAAAGCTGCAGTGAGCTGTGATCAGGCCATTGCATTCCAGCCTGGGTGACAGAGTGAGACCATCACAAAAACAAACAAACAAACAAATAAATAAATAAATAAATAAATAAAAAATCTGGGCCTCCCACCAAGGGTGGGAAACATCAGAAAGCTCAGAGGACCACACCTGCCCGTTCACCTGTCCTGGGCTCCTGCTGAAGCCAGGGCTACCAGATGGGGGCAAAAGACCTCCCTTACGCAAGTCCCAAACCACCATTACCTCCCACGAGTACAGGGAGGCGGGGTGTTCGTGCATCAGGTACGGCCACCAGAGGTTGGCACCCAGCACCTTCAGCTGGCCCTGGGTCCCAGCCTGGTTGTCCACGACTTTGTTTTCTGCATTCAAAAGACACACTTCCAACTTGAACTGGTTACTGCACTTGACGGAGATCTGGTAATTCACCAGCCCTGCAGGAGGCAAGAGAGACCAGGGCTTAGGGAGGGACATGACCTGGGTCACACAAACGGGAAGGCCCCACAATGACCACTCCCAGGCACTCTCATTTGCTTCTGTTGCTTTTTTTTTTTTTTTTTGAGATAGAATCTCGCTCTGTCACCCAGGCTGGAGTGCAGTGGCATGATCTGGACTCACTGAAACCTCTGCCTCCCAGGTTCAAGTGATTCTCCTGCCTCAGCCTCTGGAATAGCTGGGATTACAGGCACCTGCCACCACATCCAGCTAATTTTTGTATTGTTAGTAGAGACGGGGTTTCACCACATTAGCCAGGATGGTCTTGATCTCCTGACCTCGTGATCCGCCTGCCTCGGCCTCCCAAAGTGCTGGGATTACAGGCTTGAGCCACCGTGCCCGGCCCTGAACCAATGCGCCCAGCCCGCTTTTAATTTAATTTTTTAATTTTTTTTTTTTTTTTTTTGAGATGGAGTCTCACTGTCACCCAGGCTGCAGTGTAGTGCTGCGATCCTGACTCGCTGCAACCTCCACCTCTGGAGTTCAGGTGATTCTCCTGCCTCAGCCTTCCGAGTACCTGGGAATACAGGAATGCACCACCATGCCCGGCGAATTTTTCTATTTTCAGTAGAGACGGAGTTTTGCCATGTTGGCCAGGCTGGTCTCGAACTCCTGAACTCAGGTGATCCACCCGCCTCAGTCTCCCAATAGATTAGATATATTATTAATGAATTGCTTCCTTTAACACCCTATTCATTGAATTTTCCAGTAAACCACAATTACTAATTACTCCTGAAATCAGAAAAGAGGTTAAAAAGATTTTATAACAGTATCCTATGAAATCTACTACTTTCAAGTAATAGTAGTTGAATTACCAAAACCCGTCACTCAAGCCAATGACTACAATTAAGATATGAGTAACATTTCCTAGATAAATAAAGTCAATTAATTATATTTGCATCTGGGAAATAGAGAAAGTACATATAAGCCATGATTTTGAAGTTAAAAGAGAGAGAATATTTGCCAAGGAGGGGTGAGTTATAGTATGTAATTATAACATACAGAAGTTTTTTGTATGCTGGTAACTAATTTTAATTTCCTACATTTTTATGTAGATTTCTGCTATTCTTGTCCTATTTTCCTAATCATCTTTCTATATGAATGACTACATAATTCTGAGAATACCAAAAGAGACAGACACAGAACCAATCGGATTCCTTTCTTCTTGAAGCTTCTGCACAGCAAAAGAAACTATCAACAGAGTGAACAGACAACCTACAGAATGGGAGAAAATTTTTGCAACAATGCATGTGACAAAGATCTAATGTCCAACACTGATAAGGAACTTAAACAAATTTACAAGAAAAAAAAAAATCTCATTAGAAAGTGGGCACAGGACATAAACAGACACTTCAAAAGAAGACACACATGCGGCCAACAAGCATATGAGAAAAAGCTCAATATCACTGATCATTAGAGAAATGCAAATCAAAACCACAATGGCATACCATCTCACACCAGTCAGTATGGTTATTATTAAGAAGTCAACGCCGGGCATGGTGGCTCACGCCTATAATCCCAGCACTTCAGGAGGCCAAGGCAGGCAGATCGCATGAGGTCAGGAGTTCCAGACCAGCCTGGACAACCTGGCGAAACCCCGTCTCTACTAAAAATACAAAAATTAGCCCAGCGTGGTGGCGGGTGCCTGTAATCCCAGCTACTCAGGATGCTGAGGCAGGAGAATCGCCTGAACCCGGGAGGCAGAGGTTGTAGTGAGCCGAGATCATACCACTGCACTCTCCAGCTTAGGTGACAGAGCGAGACTCTGTCTCAAAAAAAAAAAAAAATATTTGAATTTTGTTTAAATCGCTAACACATACTGGGCATTTAATAACAAAAAAAAAGGACATGAGATTGTGATCCTTATGAAGGTTTGAGAGGCATTTCACTAGGGTTCAACATACAGCAGTCTGAAACATACTGTAATAATTTAATCCAATGGCTCATCTACAGCACCTAAAAAGATTACAGCAGATTCTCATTATTCAGTGTAGTTACGGTCTAGAAAGTTCCATGAACAAATAAAAAGTTAGGTTTCAGCAAGCTACTGGTCACACTTTTGTAAGCTTACCAACACCTACTTTTGTTGTATGTGTGCTTATTTAATATATATTGTTGGCCAGGCACAGTGGCTAACGCCTGTAATCCCAGCACTTTGCGAAGCCAAGGCGGGCAGATCATTTGAGGTCTGGAGTTCGAGACCAGCCTGGCCAACGTGGTGAAACCCCGTCTCTACTAAAACTACAAAAAAAAAAAAAAAAAAAAAAATTAGCCAGGCATGGTGGCGCATGCCTGTAGTCTTAGCTACTTGGGAGGCTAAGGCAGGGGAATCGCTTGAACCCAGGAGGCAGAGGTTGCAGTGAGCCAAGACTGCACCACTGCACTCCAGCCTGAGCAACAGAGTGAGACTCTATCTCAAAAAAAATAATAATAATAATTAATTAAATGAAGAATAAATAAATAATATACATTGTTCATTCATTAACATTGAACTCACAGCCAACGGCACTACAGCACTCACGCCTGAATGGAGTTTATTTAATGCATGTATTTTCTCTGTAAGACACATCACAGACTTCTTGGACTTGTGAATGCTAAGCAGCACTTCAGCACTATGCTTGGGGGTTAATTTAAATGGCAAAACAACCAACAAACAGCACAAAAACAGGAAAAGCATGGCATTAAATAGACCACAAAAAGGATACCTGACTATTGTATGAGAGCTGAAAAAGAAGGCAGAATATCATCCTGTTCAAACTCAAATTCTTTGACACTCTGCGCAAACACATGACTATGAAAGTGCTGTGAGTACTGATTTGGGGGTTACAAAAAATAGTAGGTGAGTTCACAAATACAAAAGCTGAAAACAAGGAGGATCGACTGTATTTTCGTAGACAATCTAATCTCAGAAGATTTCAGTTCAGACAAAAATCATGATAATTACTGTATTACAAAAGGGCACTAGATAGGGGGAAAAGAGTAAAAATCACAATTAAAACAAAGGTTCAAAATTCTGCAGCAACCATATCCAGTTACACTTTAATATGTTTGTGGCAGACTACATTATTGTTCCCAACTCATCACCCCTCCCTATATCTAAAACCTTTCCCCAAGACAATGCAGTTCCTCCTGCTAGAGATCAGGTATATTTATCTATACTATCAATGTTAGCCATGGACAAGGTATGTGCTTTGGCTGACTGAATGTTAGTGGACATGAGAGAAGCAATGGCTTAAAATGTACTTCCAGAACTGGAGTTTCCTTGTGATTCTATCACTGTGACAAAAACACATTCTCAGGTAGTCCACTGATCCAAGGGGGAACAAACACACAGAAAACATACCTAGACTCTATCTGCAGCTTGCAGCCTCACCAAGCCAAGAACAGTCAACTCACAGATATGTTAGCAAAAATAAATGTTTTTCATACCTTAAGTTTTATATAATTATTGACCTACAGTTAACTGATATACAATATACATTAATCTTAAAATATCATTATCCCATTAAAAATACTTACATTAAAAACTGAGACCACTTTCTTTCCTTTTTTTTTTTTTTTTTTTAAATTAAGAGACAGGGTGTCTCAATGTTGCCCAAGCTGGAGTTCAGTGGCTAGTGGCTATTCACAAGAACGATCATCGCACACTACCTCAAACTCCTGGGATCAAGCAATCCTCCTGCCTCAGCTTTCCAAGTCGCTGGGACTATAAGTGTGTACCACAGCATGTCAGCTCTCTCTCTCCTTCTTGACCTAAAGCCTAGCATAAAATTAGCTAAGTAGAATGTTTCCAAAGATGGCTGCATCAGTATCTCCCATCCCACATAATTTCTGTTTGATTTTGCCATTCACCCATAAAATGGTGGGATCTACCTCCCCTCCTTGCAAATTTGAGCTGGCCCTCTGATCCTGTCTAAGATCTGAAGCCAGATATTAAGGTACTTCATTAATTTCCATGTTTGTCCTCTATGCAACCTAGCAATCAAGCAAGAAGTCAAAACATACTGACATAGTTTGGATGGGTCCCCACCCAAATCTCACCTTGCATTGTAATAATTCCCACGTGTCAAGGGTGGGGCCGGGTGCAGATAACTGAATCATGGGGATGGTTCCCCCCATACTGTTCTCGCGGTAGTGACTAAGTCTCATGAGATCTGATGGTTTTATAAATGGGAGCTCCCCTGCACATGCTCTCTCCTGCCTGCCACTATGTGAGACATGCTTTTGCACCTCCTTGCCTTCCACCATGATTGTGAGGCCTCCCCAGCCATGCAGAACTGTGAGTCAATTCAACCTCTTTCCTTTATAAATTACCCAGTCTCAGGTATGTCTTTATTTGCGGTGTGAGAACAGACTAATACAATAAGTTGATACCAGTAGAGTGGGGTGCTGCTGTAAAGATACCCGAAAATGTGGAAGCAACTTTGGAAATGGGTAACAGGGAGAGGCTGGAACAGTTTGGAAGGCTCAGAAGAGGATAGGAAAATGTGGGAAAGTTTGGAACTTCCTAGAGACTTGTTGAATGGCTTTGACCAAAATGTTAATAGTGATATGGACAACAAGGTCCAGGCGGAGGTGGTCTCAGAGGGAGATGAGGAATTTGTTGGGAAATGGAGTAAAGTCACTCTTACTATGCAAAGACACTGCAGGCATTGTGCACCTGTATTAGAAACGGGCATAAGATAGGCGGGAAAGAGGGAAAATAAGAATTTCTTTCTAGAGTTCCCTACAGATCTGTGGAACTTTGAACTTGAGAGAGATGATTTAAGGTATCTGACAGAAGAAATTTCTAAGCAGCAAAGCATTCGAGAAGAAGCAGAGCATAAAAGTTCAGAAAATTTGTAGCCTGATGATGCAACAGAAAAGAAAAATCTATTTTCTCAGGAGACTGGGTTGTAGAAATTTGCATAAGTAATGAGGAGCCAAATGTTAATCACCAAGACAATGGGGCAAATGTCTCCAGGGCATGTTAGAGACCCTCACAGCAGACCCTCCCATCACAGGCCAGGAGGCTTAGAAGGAAAAATGGTTTTGTGGGTCCAGAACCCCCTGCTGTGTGCAGCCTAGGAACTTGGGGCCCTGCATCCCAGCTGCTCCTGCCATAGGTAAAAGGGGCCAAGGTACACCTCAGGCCATGGCTTCAGAGGGTGCAAGTTCCAAGCCTTTCAGGTTCTAGGTGGTGTTAAGCCTGCAGATGCACCAAAGTCAAGAATTAACGTTCATGAACCTCCGCCTACATTTCAGAAGATGTATGAAAATGCCTGGAAATCCAGGCAAAAGTTTGCTGTGGGGGGGAGGGGAGGGGGGGGCCCTCATGGATAACCTCTGCTAGGGCAGTGTCAAAGGGAAATATGGGGTTGGAGCTCCCACACAGAGTCCCCACTGGGGTACTGCCAAGCAGAGCTGTGAGAAAAGGGCCACCATCCTCCAGACCCCAGAATGGTAGATCCACTGACAGCTTGCACTGTGTGCCTGGAAAAGCTGCAGACACTCAATGCAGCCAGAAGGGGGGCTGTACCCTGCAAAGCCACAGGGGCGGGGCTGCCCAAGACCCTGGGAACCCACTTCTTGCATCACCTAGATGTGACACATGGAGTCAAAGGAGGTCATTTTGGAGCTTTAAGATTTGCCTGCTGGGTTTTGGACTTGCATGGGGCCTGTAGCTCTTTTGCTTTGGCCAATTTCTCCCATTTGAAACGAGTGTATTTACCCAATGCCTGTATCCCTGTGTATCTAGAAAATAACTAACTTGCTTTTGATTTTACAGGCTCATAGGTGGAAGGGACTTGCCTTGTCTCAGATGAGACTTTGGACTATGGAATTTTGAGTTAATGCTGAAATAAGAGTTTGGGGGACTTAGGGGAAGGCACGATTGCTTTTGAAATATGAGGACATGAGATTTGGGAGGGGCCGGGGAAGAATTATATGGTTTGGCTCTGTCCGCACCCAAATCTCATCTTGAATTGTAACAATTCCCATGTGTCAAGGGTGGGGCCAGGTGGAGATAACTGAATCATGGAGGCAGTTTCCCCCATGCTGTTCTCATGGTAGTGAATAAGTCTCATGAGGTCTGATGGTTTTATAAATGGATGTTCCCCTGCACATGCTCTCTCCTGCCCACCATGTCTGACTAAATTTTGTATTTTTACTAGAGACGGGCTTTCACTATGTTGGCCAGGCTGGCCTCCAACTCCTGATCTCGTGATCCGTCCACCCCGACCTCCCAAAGTGCTAGGATCATAGGCATAAGCCACCACACCCGGCCTCTTTTTTTTCTTTTTCTTTTTTTTATCTGGAGACTGAGTTTTGCACTCGTTGCCCAGGCTGGAGTGCAATGGTGCGATCTCAGCTCACTGCAGTCTCCACCTCAGCAGGAGAGCAGGAATCTTCAGTGATCCACGGGCAAATATGCAGCCATTGTGGGCACCTGTTCCTCCCGCGACCTTTGTGCCCACGTCTCTCCCTCCAGTACCTACTGCACGACCCCCCACGTCCGCCTCCTGCCATTGCCAGCAGGTGCCTTGCGCGGGTACCTGGCTGTGCTTATTCATCCATTATGGTCGCTCTGTCACTGGTGCCATTATGTGCTCACATGCCCACTCCCTCAGGTTTAGAAGTCGCGTTGCCCGGCAACAGAACAATCTGCTGGCTTAGCCTTTGGCCAAGTTGGCAGCTGGATGAGGACGCTCAGAGCCCAGCTCTTGAGAGTTCAAGTATCCGACAGTTCCCCACTGCTCCCAGGAGCGGTTACCCGGGCACTCTGTGCCCCTCATTCCTGTTTGGGCCAAGGCCGAGGACCTGCGAGTAGGGCTCAGTTGCCTGGAGCCCCTTCAGCCCATCCCCCAGTTCACTTTGCTTGTGGGATCTCCCCGTTGCTCCTGCCCCTGGACTGAGTGGCAGGCCATCCTACAAACACCCGCACACTCGACATCAGTGGTGTCAAGACAACTCTAAGAAGGTTTTCCGTGATCCTGCAAGACCTGTGTTCCATCCTGGTGATTCTATCTTCAATTTCACTGCACAGGTACCACAGTAAGCCAGTGCTGTGTGCTCCGAGTTCCAGGGCATCCCCCAGCTCAGCCACTACACTGAGCACAAGGACTCTGTGGGGCCCAGGAGCAGGTAGTCACCCCTTTGGGGTCCACAACACCCGGCTGTCCCCAGACTTGTGTCCAGGGAAGATAGTGTTGAGGGCCCTCAAGGAGAGCGGGGCAGGGATGCCTGAGCAGCACAAGGACCCCAGAGTCCAAGAAAATCCTGATGATCAGAGAACGGTCCCCGAGGTCACCGGGGATGCACGGTCTGCATTTTGGCCCCTGCGGGACAATGGAGGCCCCTCTCCCTTTGTGCCCAGGCCCGGGCCTCTGCAGACAGACCTCCACGCCCAGAGCTCAGAAATCAGATATAACCACACATCCCAGACATCCTGGACGAGCTCGAGCACCAAACGAAATGCCATCTCCAGCTCCTACAGCTCCACGGGAGGCTTGCCGGGGCTAAAGCAGAGGAGGGGGCCAGCCTCATCCCGCTGCCAGCTGACCCTCAGTTACTCAAAGACAGTGAGTGAGGACAGGCCTCAGGCTGTCTCTTTGGGTCACACACGGTGTGAAAAGGGGGCAGATACAGCACCAGGGCAGACAATCGCCCCAACGGGTGGCTCCCCCAGATCCCAGGACTCTAGGCCCCGTAGACGCAAGATTCCCCTGCTGCCACGCAGGCGAGGGGAGCCTTTGATGCTGCCACCTCCCTTAGAGCTGGGGTACCGGGTCACGGCTGAAGACCTGCACCTGGAAAAAGAGACGGCATTCCAGCGCATCAACAGTGCACTGCACGTTGAGGACAAGGCCATCCCGGACTGCAGACCCTCACGGCCTTCCCACACTTTGTCCTCACTTGCAACAGGGGCTTCGGGTGGGCCTCCCGTTTCTAAAGCACCCACTATGGATGCACAGCAGGACAGACCCAAGTCCCAAGACTGCCTGGGCCTAGTGGCCCCCCTAGCATCTGCTGCAGAGGTCCCCGCTACAGCTCCCGTGTCTGGGAAGAAGCACAGACCACCAGGACCCCTGTTCTCCTCCTCAGATCCCCTTCCTGCCAACTCTTCCCACTCCCGGGACTCAGCCCAGGTCACCTCGATGATTCCTGCCCCCTTCACAGCTGCAAGCAGGGATGCCGGCATGAGAAGAACAAGGTCGGCTCCTGCAGCTGCCGCAGCAGCCCCTCCCCCCTCCACATTGAACCCCACGTCGGGGTCACTACTCAATGCAGTGGATGGAGGCCCCTCACATTTCTTGGCCTCAGCCACAGCTGCAGCACGTGCCCAGAGGTCAGAAGTGAGATATAACCAGAGATCCCAGACCTCCCGGACCAGATCCTGCCTCAAACGAAATGCCAGCTCCAGCTCCCACAGCTCTACGGAAGGCCTCCAGGAAGTAAAGCGGAGGAGGGGGCCAGCCTCATCCCACTGCCAGCTGGCCCTCAGTTCCTCAAACACAGTGAGTGAGGACGGACCTCAGGCTGTCTCTTCGGGTCACCGCTGTGAAAACAAGGCAGGTACAGCACCAGGGCAGACACTTGCCCCCAGGGGTGGCTCCCCCAGATCCCAGGCCTCTAGGCCCCACATCAACACTGCACTGCACGTTGAGGACAAGGCCATCTCGGACTGCAGACCCTCACGGCCTTCCCACACTTTGTCCTCACTTGCAACAGGGGCTTCGGGTGGGCCTCCCGTTTCTAAAGCACCCACTATGGATGCACAGCAGGACAGACCCAAGTCCCAAGACTCCCTGGGCCTACTGGCCCCCCTAGCATCTGCTGCAGAGGTCCCCTCTACAGCTCCCGTGTCTGGGAAGAAGCACAGACCACCAGGACCCCTGTTCTCCTCCTCAGATCCCCTTCCTGCCACCTCTTACCACTCCCGGGACACAGCACAGGTCACCTCGCTGATTCCTGCCACCTTCACAGCTGCAAGCAGGGATGCCGGCATGAGAAGAACAAGGTCGGCTCCTGCAGCTGCCACAGCAGCCCCTCCCCCCTCCACATTGAACAACACGTCGGGGTCACTACTCAATGCAGTGGATGGAGGCCCCTCACATTTCTTGGCCTCAGCCACAGCTGCAGCACGTGCCCAGAGGTCAGAAGTGAGATATAACCAGAGATCCCAGACCTCCCGGACCAGATCCTGCCTCAAACGAAATGCCAGCTCCAGCTCCAGCTCCCACAGCTCTACGGAAGGCCTCCAGGAACTAAAGCGGAGGAGGGGGCCAGCCTCATCCCACTGCCAGCTGGCCCACAGTTCCTCAAACACAGTGAGTGAGGACGGACCTCAGGCTGTCTCTTCGGGTCACCGCTGTGAAAACAAGGCAGGTACAGCACCAGGGCAGACACTCGCCCCCAGGGGAGGCTCCCCCAGATCCCAGGCCTCTAGGCCCCACATCAACAGTGCACTGTACGTTGAGGACAAGGCCATCTCGGACTGCAGACCCTCACGGCCTTCCCACACTTTGTCCTCACTTGCAACAGGGGCTTCGGGTGGGCCTCCCGTTTCTAAAGCACCCACTATGGACGCACAGCAGGACAGACCCAAGTCCCAAGACTGCCTGGGCCTAGTGGCCCCCCTAGCATCTGCTGCAGAGGTCCCCTCTACAGCTCCCGTGTCTGGGAAGAAGCACAGACCACCAGGACCCCTGTTCTCCTCCTCAGATCCCCTTCCTGCCACCTCTTCCCACTCCCGGGACTCAGCCCAGGTCACCTCGCTGATTCCTGCCACCTTCACAGCTGCAAGCAGGGATGCCGGCATGAGAAGAACAAGGCCTGGCACCTCGGCTCCTGCAGCTGCCGCAGCAGCCCTTCCCCCCTCCACATTGAACCCCACGTCGGGGTCGCTACTCAATGCAGTGGATGGAGGCCCCTCACATTTCTTGGCCTCAGCCACAGCTGCAGCACGTGCCCAGAGGTCAGAAGTGAGATATAACCAGAGATCCCAGACCTCCCGGACCAGATCCTGCCTCAAACGAAATGCCAGCTCCAGCTCCCACAGCTCTACGGAAGGCCTCCAGGAACTAAAGCGGAGGAGGGGGCCAGCCTCATCCCACTGCCAGCTGGCCCACAGTTCCTCAAACACAGTGAGTGAGGACGGACCTCAGGCTGTCTCTTCGGGTCACCGCTGTGAAAACAAGGCAGGTACAGCACCAGGGCAGACACTCGCCCCCAGGGGTGGCTCCCCCAGATCCCAGGCCTCTAGGCCCCGCATCAACAGTGCACTGCACGTTGAGGACAAGGCCATCTCGGACTGCAGACCCTCACGGCCTTCCCACACTTTGTCCTCACTTGCAACAGGGGCTTCGGGTGGGCCTCCCGTTTCTAAAGCACCCACTATGGATGCACAGCAGGACAGACCCAAGTCCCAAGACTGCCTGGGCCTACTGGCCCCCCTAGCATCTGCTGCAGAGGTCTCCTCTACAGCTCCCGTGTCTGGGAAGAAGCACAGACCACCAGGACCCCTGTTCTCCTCCTCAGATCCCCTTCCTGCCACCTCTTCCCACTCCGGGGACTCAGCCCAGGACACCTCGCTGATTCCTGCCCCCTTCACACCTGCAAGCAGGGATGCCGGCATCAGAAGAATGTTTCGTGTTCGAAATTGTTTGAGGGGTTTGGGTTTATTTTTGTTGGTTTTTTCTTTTTTTTTTTTGCTTACGTGGGCATCCTTCAGCTTTTAATAATCTGAAAAATTCTATTTACCCATTGTCAATGTGTATAAATTAATCTCAGTCAATTTTATACAATAAAAGGTGAACTTTTATCCATCAAACAATAATTTAACAAAAAATGTACCGGAAGAAGAATGTTCATTACAAATATAGGAAACATAAATATTACCAAATATTGGCAAGCACTAAAATGTTCAGAAATATAAGTCTATTACAGTTATAGCTCTCTCAAGCAAAAAAACAGCAGAGAAAAACTTAGTTTTCCTGAGGGGCTATTTATTTACTTAGGGATTTGTTAAAAGGTCAAATGGGGTCACACAGAATACTAAGAAGAGCTGTTCACCCAGGCCTCACTAAGAACTCTTCTTCATGCAGTAGCTATATAGTAATATGACAACTGCTCCTACGACCCAAAGAGGAACTACAGCAACTACTCTTTAGCATCTGTTGCTCCCAACTCTGCTTTGCAATTATATGACTCAAGCATTCTGGCTCCGTTAACTATTACTGCTGTTACTCCCAAGTAAATTCCCTCTAAAAAATAAAAATTTTTAAAGCTGTAATTTAAGCTCTCTGCTGCCTCATGACTTCAATTCCATCAGAGTTACGCATTGTTTCCTCTGTACATCTTTGCTCTGCTTCCATTGCTAATTCCCTAGTAAAGTGTTGTATATTCAAAGTTCCAAAGAAACAGAATATCCAAGACATCACCAATCATCCAAAACACAGTGTAGGAGGCCACAGTTAAGAGAAGCAACACCATTAGCTCTTTTTATAGGCTCGAGAACAACAGGATGCTTTGGTCCTGTATCAGCAGGACGCTTTTTGGGTAGATCCTACTGCCACCCTACTATCGGGTAGATCCTACTGTCACCCTAGCTATGGGCACATGTCAGAGTCCCATGTAATAAAGGAGACAAAAGGAAACCACCACGAGTATAAACTAAGAAAAGTACTCCAAGGTTTCTAAGAATGGAGCTGTATAACTCACTTTGCCCCATTTGTTACTTCTCCACGGTACTTACCACCACCTATTACATATATTTTGTTTATAGTCAGTCTTCCCCCATTAGAATGAAAGTTCCGTGAGGATAGGACTATACAGTCAGCCCTCAGTATCCATGGGGGACTGGTTTCAGGATCTCCTGAGGGTAACAAAGGATACTCAAGTCCCTGATATAAAATGACATAGTATTTGCACATCACCTTTGCACATCCTCCCATATACTTCATATCAACTCTAGATCACTCATAATATCCGATGTAAATGTCATGCAAATAGTTATTGTACTATATTGTGTAAGGAATAAGGACAAGAAAAAAGTCTGTACATGTTCAGTACAGACGCAATTTTTTTTTCCAATATTTCCAATCCTTGGTTGCCTTAACGGATGTAGAACCCAGGAATAAGTTCTGGTGTCCTATTGCATAGTAGGATGAGTATAGTTAACAATAACATATTATATATTTGAAAATAGCCAGAAGAGTAGATTTTGAATTTTCTCCCTACAGAAAAATCATTATGCAAATTACCCTGATTTGATCATTACACATTGAGTACATGTATTAAAACATCACATTCTACCCCATATATATGTACAGTTATTATGTGTCCATAAAAATTTAATGTCAATGTGTGAAATAAAATGAAAAAATAAAAATTTTTAAAGCTGTAATTATCTCCATCTGGTAGGAATATATACAATCTGAAATAAAAAATATATTTGTAATTGTTAGGACAAAATAGATTATACGTTAAGTCTGCAAATTATAAATTATAAAATTCTCACAGAACCTGAAAAATTATTGATACTGTTAAATATTTAAAAAGCTGTCCTTGGAGAGAAAGAAACCTATCAGATTTACATCAACAAGTGTAATATGTCAGCCTATTACCATCTGCTACAGACTGCATGTTTGTGTTCCCTCAAAATTCATATGATAGGCCGGGCGCGGTGGCTCATGCCTGTAATCCCAGCACTTTGGGAGGCCGAGGCGGGTGGATCATGAGGTCAGGAGATCGAGATCATCCTGGCTAACATGGTAAAACCCCGTCTCTACTGAAAATACAAAAAATTAGCCGGGCGCAGTGGCGGGCGCCTTAGTCCCAGCTACTGAGGAGGCTGACGCAGGAGAACGGCGTGAACCCAGGAGGCGGAGCTTGTAGAGAGCCGAGATTGTGCCACTGCACTCCAGCCTGGGTGACAGACAGAGCGAGACTCTGTCTCAAAAAAAAAAAAAAAAAAAATTCATATGATAAAGCCCTAACCCCCAAGGTGAGGATACTGGGAGGCGTGGCCTTTAGGAGAGAATTAGGTTTAGATGAGGTCATGAGAATAGAGCCCCTATGGTGGCATTACTTCCTTTATAAGAAGAGACACTAGAGCTGCTTTTCTCCCTACCATGTGAGGATACCGAGAGAAGATGGCCATTTCCAATCTAGGAAGCAGGCCCTCTTTAAGAAACACAATTTGCCAACACTTTGATCTTGCACTTCCAGTCTCCAGAACTGTGAGAAATATCTGTTTTTTTGTTTGTTTGTTTTTGTTTTTTTTGAGACAGAGTCTCATTCTGTCATCCAGGCTGGAGTACAGTGGTGCGATCATGGCTCACTGCAACCTCCGCCTCCCAGGTTCAAGCAATTCTCCCACCTCAGCCTCCCAAGTAGCTCAGACTACAGGCGTGCACCACCATGCCCAGCTGATTTTCGTAGAGACAAGGTTTTGCCATGCTGCCCAGGCTAGTCTCAAACTCCTGAGCTCAAGTTATCCACCTGCCTCGGCCTCCCAAAGTGTTAGGAATACAGGCATAAGCCACCACGCCTGGTCAAAATATCTACTGTTTAAGCTACCTAATTTATGGTATTCTGTTTTAGCAGCTGAAGCAGACTAAGATACCATCCTATAAGCTACAGACCAGCACTATCCAATAGAACTTTATATGACGAGGAAATGTTTTATATCTGTGCTATCCCTTATGTTAGCCACTAGCCACATGTATCCATCAAGTATTTGAAATATGGCTAGTGCAACTAAAGAACTTAATTTTTAATTTTCTTTTTTTTTTTTGAGATGGAGTCTCGCTCTGTCCCCCAGGCTGGAGTGCAGTGGCGCCATCTCGGCTCACTGCAAACTCTGCCTCCCAGGTTCACGCCATTCTCCTGCCTCAGCCTCCTGAGTAGCTGGGACTGCAGGCGCCCGCCACCACGCCCGGCTAATTTTTTGTATTTTTAATAGAGATGGGGGTTCACCGTCTTAGTAAGGATGGTCTCGATCTCCTGACCTAATGATCTGCCCGCCTCGGCCTCCCAAAGTGCTGGGATTACCGGCGTGAGCCACCACGCCCGGCCAATTTTTATTTTATCTTATTTAAATAACCACATGTGGCTAGTGGCTAATGTATTGAACACTACAGCTGTAGACAATACGAAATAAATATAAAGCAGTCTCCACTTTGGAAAAACAGAAGACTCTTACTGCCTCATAGTATAGATTAAAAAATGAAATACTAAGACAAGTAAAACGTTCTTTAAAGAACAAAAACAAAAGAAAACCTAATGAAAGCTAAAAAAGTCCATTGGATAATAATGCTACCAGTACTAAGGAAGTACAGCCCCTAAAAGTGACTTGCAGTCACAAATATAAAAATGACTATTCAAGTGAACTCCTAAGGTGAAAATTTCTTATTCACCATGCTCCAAAATGGTCTGTAATATTCTTCAGAGATGGCATGGTAAAGTACGATAAAAGGGTAATATTAACAGTATGCTGTCACAGGTGCCATTCTCTTAAAAAAGAAATCCAAAAATAAATATAAATGGAAAGCAAATAATTAATGGAGTTTTGACGGTCAATCAATGGTAAATATTATTGGCATTAGATTTTTCTATTAATTATAGTTTACCTATGATCATGTATTTTTCCATTTAAAAATTACCCTAAAACTTAATGGCTTAAAATAACAAATATGTATGACACAATTTATAGAAGTCAGGGAAATGATGGATTTGGGTAGGTGGTTCTGACTCGAAGTCTCTCATGAGTAAAGGTTGCTGTCATGTTGTTGACCCAGGCAGCATCCCCTGAAGCCTTTAACTTGTGTTGGAAGGTCCGTGTCTTAGTTTGTTTGCACTGTCGCTACAGAATACCATAGACAGGGTAGCTTATAAACAACAGAAACGTTTCTAATGGTACCGGAGGCTGGATGGTGCAAAATCAAGGTGCTTGCAGATTTGGTGTCTGGTCAGAGCCCATTTTTTAGTTCATAGATTACTGTCCTCTAGCTCACATGGCAGAAGGGGCAAGGACGCTTTTTGGGGTCTCTTTTACAAGGGCACTAATCCCCGGCTGGGCACGGTGGCTCACATCTGTAATCCCAGTACTTTGGGAGGCTGAGGCAGGCAGATCACGAGGTCAGGAGTTCCAGACCAGCCTGGCCAGTATGGTGAAACCCCGTCTCTACTAAAAATACAAAAATTAGCCAGGTGTGGTGGTGCGTACCTGTAGTCTCAGCTACTCAGGAGGCTGAGGCAGAAGAAACACTTGAACCCAGGAGGCAGACGCTGCAGTGAGCTGACATGGCACCACTGCACTCCAGCCTGGGTAACAGAGCAAAACTCTGTCTCAAAAAATAAATAAATAAATAAATAAAAATAAAAATAAAAAATAATAATCAAGGCACTAATCCCCAACATGAAGACAGACTATCATCTACCAAAAGCTCCACCTCCTACTATCATTACACTGGGGGTTAGGATTTCACAAATTCAGTGCATCATAGTCTGCTTCTAGAATGTTTAATCATTTGGCTGGATATCAGATAGGATGCCTCGGTTCTTCATGTGAGCTTTCTAGAAAAGATAGTTTGGAATTATTTGCATGGTGGCTGGGCTCGTAAAGAGTTGAAGGAGAGAAAGAGAGAGAAACACCAGTAAGGAGCAAATTAGTTCACTCAAAATTAAAACCCTAGCCTTTGTGACCTTGTCTCAGAAGGTAACATTCCAATCCTGTGGTGTTTTATTTCTTAGATGGGAGTCACTCAGCTTAGCCTGCCTTCAAGGGGAGGAGTATGAAGCTCCACTTCTTAAACTGAGAAGAATCAACAAATATGTAGATATATATATTTTTAATAGTATTACAGCTCATGAACCCATTTAAACCCATTTTAGAACTTTAAAGAAATATTTTAAAACGGAATTTTCAATTAAGCAGAAGAAATTGCCAGCTGTGGAACAGTGAACTTTATCGCTGAAATCACACACACATATATACACACACACAGTGCAAACTCATACATGATCAAATCTATAATCTTATTACACAAAGTTTTGTGAGAGGAAAAATGCTTGACTTTTCAAAAGGGCTCATTTATTAAAAATAAAATGACCATTGTGTTCATTTTAGCTGCAACCTTTAAGCAATCAATGACTATATACTTGCTGTAATCATCCTTTAAAATTAGAATTATTGAAAAGCTTTATCACTGATGAATGAAAGAAAGTAATATTGATTTGTGGCCAAGAGAGATAATCTCAGGCAATAAACAGGTGCAGTCTTTGAAGGAATCATTTTATTTTATTACTTTCTGACATTATTGAAGCCAATTTTAAATAAATTCATCATGTTTTTAAATTTAATCACGTATTATTTTATCATACATTAGGTAAAGTTTCAATCTAAGTAACTCCTGGATAAAAAATGAAGTATATCAATTTACAATTACAAATACCCAAATTGTACAGGCATGCATTTTTCAATGACATTTATAAATTGTGTTTTGTTGTTTGTGCCTTGTGTTTGTTTTATTAATCAAATTAATTTATACAGATATATGTATGGAAATGAGACAGATATAACCAGTTCTCTATAAGTAAGCATTATCTAATGGAGTCTTTCCTTTCACTAATGATCATCAGGACAGCTAGGGAAGTGAGTTGAAATTTTCAGGCCATTAGGTTAATAGTTCTAGTAATTCTAGTAATGTTTCGACAGTCATAATATAAATGATACTATGTGGCTTGAATTAATGCATTTTCTTATGTAACAAATAATAAGACAATTTTTAAAAGTGGTAATTACTATTTTTAAATATGACAATTAAAAATAATGAAAGAAAAGAGGTTGTACATTGAGTAGCCATAACATTATCTTTAAACATATTTATTCTTCATTTCCTAACTTTTCCCACCTTTTGGCTAAATCGTATGTTCTTTCTCTAACCTCACTTCTGTTTTATTACTCTCTGGGAAAGATTTTTATATAAAACGTCTAAGCAATCAAACCTAACACAGGATGAATTTCTACACATTACTATACCCTCTGGTCACTATTTTTTTCTTCTCTTTATTGCCCATTTCCCTGATCTTGAAACATTCCAATTATTTGCCTTCCATGACATTCTACTCTTACTTTTACTTTTCTGTCTCTGATTACTCATTTCCAGTTCCTTTTGTCATCTCCTTGTCTTCCTACACCTGCCAATTAAATTTGAATTTCCTCTGCATTTCATCTTATGTCTCCTTTTCTTCTGCCAAATTCTCTCCTTAGACAAATACAGTCATTCCCATGGTTTTATATCCCACTTATATTCAAGGGCTCTAGAATGTATAGCGCCAGGCCAAATCTATCTTAAGAACTTACTTTACTTAACCAATTACAACTGCATCTGCTCAGGATCATGTAACCCACATCAGCATTTGGCTCTTCTGTAGACCCATTTTTTCTTTTCCTGGAAGTCTATTTTGACACCTACTTTCTGTCACTACCCACGTTTTAGCATTTAGCCTTGTCAATTTACTCTCATCCATATGTAACTCTATCCATTTTCTTCTCTCTATTATGAACAGCAGTTTGAGCCATCATGACCAATTTTGCAGTATCCCTTCTTAAATTAGCCTCCTGTTTCGCATTGGACATTTTCACCCCCCAGCAATTCCACCGATTTCATTCTCGGAAAAATATAAATGAAGAGTTACATTTTTCAATAGCCATAATCATTAAATTTCCATGTGTAAGAAAATGTTCAGAACAGTATCAGTGCATTTATAATAAAATTTTAAAACTTGACCCACAAATCTCTACTTGTCCTTCTAGTTTTATTTCATTTGTCTCTCGTCAATCTCTACATTCTGATCACCACAATCTTTTAATTCATCTGAAAGCTAAGCTCTCTCTTAATTTACATTCTCTATACTTGCAATTTTGTCTACCTAGAAGTGTCTTCTTCCATCTTTGGATTGTTATTGCAAATCCATTGAATAGTTCTCATCTGAATTGTTTCTTCCTTGGGATGACTTATAAACACTTCATCCTACAGCCAAATCAGAAGACCAATATCAAAATCTTTCATCACATCCTAAATTTGCTTATATGTAATTATATGGCAAGAATCTCTTTGTCTTTATAATCATGATTCACTTATCTATGTTTTTTAAAAACTCTTCTAGGTGGTGATGCTAAGCTCCGTAATGTTGGGCTTGTTACCTGTCTCAACTATCTTCCACACCTACCACAGTACCTGCTACATAGATGTATTCAATATATATTTTTAGAATTAGTAAATGATGAGCAAGCGTGTACTTTTGTTCTCTTTCATTACAGTGTTAGAAATGCTATTACAGCATTAGAAAAGATAATCAGAAAGAAAATTTAATAGATCATCAGAAAAAAATCCCAAGACTTTTAGGCAAATGAGCCTACAAACACAGGTGGAATGGACTTGCAATTTACCAAGAAATAGGTTTGTCATACTTAGAAACCAACTGTATAAACATGTTTTTATCTATTAATAACTCCATTTTCCAAAACGCTCTACTTTATATGAGACAATTCTTGATGGAAATACCATTTGCTTCTAGGCTCGTTGCTTAAACATAAAGTTAAAAATCTTTGTATGACACATAAAATTGTGGTGACTGCTTAACTTTGCAACTATAGCGCTCCTGAAATGCTCATTTAACCAGTCTGTGTTCCAGACCTACAGAACTTAGATGGTGCTAACATTGCGCAAAAATTGTGTATTTCTTCTACAACTAACTTCTGATAAAAAGGGGGCAGAGAAGGTTAACTCTCTCCCCCTTTAGCTTTATTTGCTTAGTGAATTTCTACAAAACATAATTTAAGTGCTATATTTTTCCAAGGTTTTAATAAGGAAATAAAAACCGCAATAGGTATCTTAAGCAGAAAGTGCATTTCATACATATACAATAGGAAGGGCTAAAATAACTAAAGTAGCTGTGGCATGGAGGAAGGTTTTGAGTTCTTGAATTCAAAGGCACGCAATCATTTCTGCAATCCTGGGTCAAAAAGATGCTCCTGCTATTAAAACTTTAAGCCTCTTATGCCCATGAAACTGGGGATTAGGCACAAGGATATTGAATCCTACCACTTCCACTACTTCTGAACTATTGTCCCCATGATTTCACTTGCCAGAATCAACAATAGCAAGACAGGCTTTGATCTCTTCCATTTTTCTAAGTCTGATTCATATGCAAACAATCGGTAAGTGGTCTAAGCTGCATTCATAAAGCTAGCTCAAGGGAAGCTGCATTGCTTGTTTTGTTTTAATTTTCTAACCTCTTCAAAGAGTGGAACGAAAGTTGAGGAAACCTGTCCAACAGTCTACCACACACCTTCCATGAAAGGTTCCCCAACACCTCCAACAAAATAATGTAAACACATGCTGGAACCTATATTACTCTCGCACCATAACACTTCCCACACTTCCCACAATACTTTTTCTCTTCATGGGAATATCCTTCCAAAACATGCTGATATCTCCTAAGCATTATTCATCTGTCGAATTTTCCCACCTATTGTAAGGTCTTCCAATTGTTAGGTTCTTAATAAATATATTTTAAATTATTAAAATTCTGAACTAATGGGTAATCAACTGTACAACCCGAATTGCTGATTTGCATACAGCTGAAGTCCCTCCTCAAAACTTCTGTAATACATGAAACTTAGGCAAATGGTTGGGTCATTACCATATATTACTTTATATTTTTATTTATCAGTATATGTGATTACAGTTATGCTTATGTTAATTGATATGTATATGTTAACTTTTATACATATGTACATTGTATTATTTTGTTACATAGCACAGCATTTTGTACTCAAAAAGTGACCAATAATAATAAGCTACATACTTTGGGAAGCATTGCAGGCTAGTCGTACAGTTTTGTTTTGTTTTTTTCCCTGCAGCCTGACAACCTTTTCAGTCATTCACTAAACCTCTCTCAGCTTCAGTTTCTTCATCTGCAACATATAGCAAATAATAAAACTTAACTCAGATGGTTCTAGTGTGAAATAATACAGAGTAAATGTGCCACCAAATACAAACCAATGGCTTGATTGACATAACTCACTGCTAATTTTCTTGAAATGATTCAAAGTATTTTCCAGACAAGCACACACTGAGGGAATTCGTCACCACCAAACGAGTCCTATGAGAAATACTCAAAGGTGTCCCAAACACAAAAATGAAAGGTCAACATTCATCATCATCATCAAAACACATGAAAGTAGCAAACTCATAGGTCTTGTAAAACAGTCACACAAAGTAGGACGAGCAATCAAATAGCAACACAACAGATTTCCACCAAACCACAAAGACAAAGAGACACACAGAAAGAAAAACAAAAAACAACAACAAAATAACCCCAAGGAACTTATAAAACAAGTAGAAAACAAACAGCAATATGGCAGAAAGAAAACCTCATGTATTAACATTAACCTTGAATGTAAATGAATTAAACATTCCACTTAAAATATATAGATTGATAGATATTGGGCCAGGTGCAGTTGCTCACACCTGTAATCCCAGCACTTTGGGAGGCCGAGGTGGGTGGATCACGAGGTCAGGAGTTCGAGGCCAGGCTGGCCAACATAGTGAAACCCTATCTCCATTAAAAATACAAAAATTAGCCAGGCGTGGTGGCCGGCACCTGTAATCCCATCTACTTGGGAGGCTGAAGCAGGAGAATCGCTTGAACCTGCAAGACGGAGTTTGCAGTGAGCCAAGATTGCGCCACTGCACTCCACTCTGGATGACAGAGTGAAACTCCATCTAAAAGTAAAAAAAAAAAAAAAAAGAAAGGTAGATTGATGGAACGAACTAAAAAATGATCCAAAAATATTATGCTTACAAGAAACATATAGACACATACAGACTGAAAAGTAAAGACACATACAGATTTAAAGTAAATGGGTGAAAAAAGATACTCCATGTAACGGAGACTAAAAGCAAGCAGGAATAGCTATACTTATATCAAGTAAAACAGAACTTAAATCTAAAACAGTATAACAATGACAAAGGAAGTCATTACATAATGATAAAGGGATCAATTCAGCAAGAGGATATAACAATTCTAAACACATATGCATCCAACACTAGACCACCAAGATTCATCAAATAAATATTACTAGACATAAAAAAGGAATAGACAGCAATACGATAATACTGGGGGACTTTACCATCTCACTCACAGCATTAAATGTTATCATCAAGACAGAAAACAAATAAACCTAAGACTTAAATTCAACCTTAGATGAAATAGACCTAACTGACATTTACAGAAAATACTACCCAGCAACTACAGAATATACATTCTTAATAAAACCGCAATTTCACCCAACAATCCCACTACTGGAGATCTACCCAAAGGAGAACAGATAATTGTATGAAAAAGGTATCTGCACCCATATGTTTATCACAGCACTATTCACAATAGCAATGTGTCCCTCAGTGGATGATTACATTAATAAATCTGGCATATATGCGCTATAGAATACTATTCAGCTATACAAAAGAATAAAATCATGTCTTTTGTAACAACATGGATGTAACTGGTCATTATTTTAAGTGAAACAAATCAGACACAGAAAGACAAATACTGCATGTTCTCACTTATAACTGGAAGCTAAATAATGTATACACATGGACATAGAATGTGGAATGATAGACAACAGAGACTTGGAAATTTCAGGAGGGTGGGAGGAGGGGATGATGAGAAATTATGTAATGAGTACAATGTACATTTTTCAGGTGATGTATATTCTAAAACCCTTACTTCAACACTACGTACTTTATGGAGGTAATAAGATTATATTTGTATCCCACAAATTTACGTAAATAAAAAATTGCCTTCTGTACTTACTTTAGCCCAGTTATTGTTAGGTTCAACATTCAGCACTTTACTTAAATTTTCTATAGCTTTCTGGACCTTTTTTTGATATTTATATATAGTAGTGTGGCACAGAAGTGCTAATATTTACCAAAATAAAAGTTATATTTTTAATTAAAAATTAATTAAAAGGTTGTAGAATCTCAGGATGGAATGCAGACTGTTACAAATTTATCTAGCTCTATTATGAACCATACAAAATAACTTCAGTGAGGGACTTAAGGGAAAGGGTGCTAGTCAAAGTGATATTGAAAATGAGTGCAGTCTCTTAAGATGAAAGGCAAAAGAAACTTGTACGAAGGCATTTAATTTAGTTGATAAAGATGTTCTTCTACTAAGGGCAGGTTATCAATTCTGGTACAGCTATATACATATACTGGAAGTGAACAATTAACTAAATAGATGTCACAAAATAAGAGTCAGGATTTTTATTGTTGGAGTGGGGGTTTAGAGATACAGGAAGGCATTGATGCTTGCGGGACTAGGTTAGAGGTAGTGACATCAGTAAGAACCCATGTTTAGCTTAATATAGACATAGATGGTGATATGGTTTACATTTTGTCCCCTCTCAAACCTCTCGTCCAATTGTAATCGCCAGTGTTGAAGGAGGGGTCTAGTGGGAGGGGATTGGATTATGGGGGCAGATTTCCTCCTTGCTGTTCTTGTGATAATGACTTAGTTCTCACACAATCTGGTTGTTTAAAAGTGTGTAGCATCTCCCCCTTAGTTCTCTTCCTCCTTCTCCAGCCATGTAAGATGTGCCTGCTTCCTCTTTGCCTTCTGCTATGACTGTACGTTTTCTGAGGCTTCCCCATCCTTGCTTCCTGTACAGCCTGTGCAACTGTGAGGCAATTAAAGCTCTTTTCTTTATAAATTACCTAGGATCAGGTAGTTCTTTATAACAATGGGATAATGGACTAATATAGATGTTTACATATAGAAATATTTAAAGATATGTGTCTACATATGTGTAAGAATATACACATTGTTTCTTTGCTCTCTCATCTTAGAGAGCTATGAAAAAATTGATATTCCCTTAGCTACAGGCACAGCTAGCACTTAAATATTGATTTCATATATAGAAAGCAGGGCGTCTTTGAAAGTGGCTGATTCTAAGAATGGGGAAGAAAATACACAAGATGAGCCTGGGACATCCTCTAGTGCCAGAAATTATGAAAATACTAACAAAAATCTATTTGTGAGATATGTCAAACAAGCACAGGGGCCAAGTGAAAGGTCTTTCAATTTCTAGAATAATTTTAGCAACACAATACATTAATTGGTATTATATTTGGATTATACCCAAAAATGTAATTTTCCTTAGTCCATATTGATATCAATAAATGACTGAATAAACAAATGAATGAGATAAAAGAGGTAAATCTCCTCTGCAAATAATTTACATATGTATTCCAACTAAAGGAAGTCAGCTCTTAAAGACATCTTAAGCAATACTGCAACTGAATTAGCTTTCCAAAGATACTGTCACAATTCATCTATTCCAAGACCTATACATTTCATATTTTAATATCTCCTGAAAATATAATGCATTTTACAATTCAGTGGTATGTCTTAGTTTAATTAGCCACAATGCGAATTACTTGCTTAACGGGACATAAAATAGTGCATTATACAATCTATGGGCTCTTGGACTCAAGAAAATACGATAGAAAGGAGTTTATGTTAGAGTCTGCGCACTGACTAAAGATCAGAGCAGAAAGCAGATTCTAGGAACAGTCACATTTGTGGCAGTCACTGGTCTCGGCATGCAACAAAATTCAAAGTAAATAGTGGTAAGGTGGGAAATGGACAAAGCTATGTAGCTAGAATCAGAAGTCCTTGAAATCAAAACATCAAGATTCAAACTATTTAGGGGCAGTGGGGCTGACGTGGTGACCGTGGGCCTGATCAGATAAAACCTTTACAAAGAAACAGTAGCTCTCAGACTCACCTCCTGAGACAGAGTTGTTCTGAGGGGAAAATGGGTAAGTTTCCACAGTAACATACAGTACTTAAACATACAGTAAGATACAGTACTTAAAGCCCTGACCTGTCCAGTTCCCAACACATCTTTCTTGATGGGCACCTAAATGTCACCTTTTGGTTTTATTTTTGTGTTTTTCTCATCTAAGCTCGGAGAGCAAAGCCTGACAGGGTGAGCCCCCAAAGTGTGTTCATGTCTTAAGAGTGTCCAGAAGCCACCTAGGGAGTGTGCAAGTTTTTCATTTTCATGCCAGGGACAATGTCTCTCTTTATTGAGCTAATGGCAAGGTATGGGCCTCAGAATATGTACAGTTTGAACATATTTGCATCTTCCCTTTAATTAACTGTGAAATCTGTGAGGCTAATGAGAAGAAAATTGATGGGTAGTCGGTGGAAGAATTTTTTTTTCATTGTCATATCTTCAACTTTCCTGGGGTATAATAAGAGATGCACAGTCAATTCAGTATACTTGAAATGTGTGATGTGGTCAAATTTGAGATAGATATATATATATATGTATATACTTTTGGAAATATCACTACATTCACAACCATCATTATGAAAAGTTTTCTTGTGCACCTCAGTAATCAGTCTCTCCCTCCATGCTGTCTCCAGGCAGCCATTTGATTTTCCATCAGGTAACATGAGTGAGAAGAAAATGTCTGTTGCAAGCTATTGAAATTTTGTGGTTGTTCACTTTTTAGAAACTCTTTGGAATTTTCTTTCTCATATCTTTATTAACATATAAAGTGTCTGTCTGGCATACTTTCAGATAATGTAAATAATATACTCAGCAATTGTTTTGTGCTGGGCTTCCATTTAATCTTTCAAGATCATATGGATTTTTATAGCTTTATATGTTGTGTTTGGCATCTTAAGCTCACTATCTACCTACTGACTCTTAAATCCCAAACTCTAAAGAGGTTCTGAAGATTCCAAAGATGCTATTCACATCCGGTAAGTTTAGGGCAGGAAAACTGGTAAACCTCCTATAACATGAGGCTAGAGCCCACAACAAAATTATCAGGTCCAAAAATGTCAATAGTATTGAAGGTGAGACAATTTCTAGGGAGATATTACACCTTGATATTCTCATTTAATATGCTGGTAATGTAATCCAGCATTTTTCCAAAAATGAGAATAGCCTGGTGGCCTTAAATGTCATTGTTTTACTCTTACTTACATTGGACTAAAGAATGAGTTCAAATGCAGCTGAATAATTTGGATATTTAAAGCAATAACATTTTTCACTAACGCGCATAGGCTTAATGCCTGGGTGACAAAATAATCTGTATACCTATTTACCTATAGGTTTACCTATATAACAAACCTGCACATATACCCCTGAACTGAAAATAAAAGTTAATAAATAAAGTAATTACATTTGTTTAGAAATAAAATAAATTTAGAAATGGAAAATATTGTTGAAAATATTCTAAGAATTTTAAATTTATACATTAAAATAAAAATAATCTGAATATTATTACCAACAGAAAATCTTTGTCTTGATCTCAAATTCCAAGTAGAATACCTTTAGACTATCTCTAGCAATAGCTAACAGAATAAGATTTACAAATCTTGATAGATCATTTTTCATGCCTGTGTCATTTTAAAATGAATTGATGGCTGTTAAAACTTAATTTAATTTGAGTCTCTTCCGGATCATATACATAGTTTTACAGACAGCCATGTTCAATGAAATTATAATATGTAACACAAGAAATATGCCAGATGTAAAGTAAGAATCTCTTTTAAACGCTCTGATATTCAAAAATCTTTATCAGATTTCCTAAACTAACGATTTTAAACAAAACCTTTTAGTTAAGAAAGCATTGGTCTCAATAGTAAATCTGCCAATATGAATTGCTGCATTTTATTTTTGAACTTTCTAAAGGCCATCTGCCAGAGTAATTAGATATAAAATCCTGCATGCAATCTAATATTAGATGAAAAGTTTAAACTACCAATGATACAATATTGATGCACAGAGGAATGAATTGATTTTTTATGTTATTCTCAAATTGAAAGTCAATCTTTTTATAAAATAAATTTATAAATAAATCCAAATATGATATTTTAGCTCACTTTTGACAGTAGGTTTTCAGTTTCTGATGTTAACAATGGCATAATTATGATTTGCTGAATGACTTTAAAGTGATCGGATAAGGAAACAATTAGGGTTTGCAGTAGCTGGAGAAAGAAAAAAAAGAAATATTTAGATATTGCATACTCAATATGGCACATACTACGTCACAGGCTTTAATATCAGTTGACTACTCTCTTTAGAAGGAGTACGGTTTGACCTAGACCAGTTTATTTATTCATTTTTGTAATAATTTTTCCTCATTCTCTTTGACACATTGGTTAACCTAAAATTACTGTGTTGCTTAGGACATTGACTAAAAATCGTAGTCTTTCAGTTTGTGGCTGCTCACAGGATTTTTTTTTTTTTTTTGCTTTGGCTTACTAAATAATCTTTTATTGGAGTTAAAACAACAAAGCTAGTAAAGATATATAAATCAATGCCAAAAAAAAGGAGACAGGCCTACTTATATGCCATTATCTTCTGTTATTGCCGTTGGATAGAAGACAGACATTATCATTTTTAATCAATTGTATACTTCATAAATATGATACAACAGATATTTTTACTTCCAAGATTATACATAGAGTTTTTATGATTCCTTTGTGAGTGTGAACTATATAGCTGTCCCTAAAACATAATTGAGAACAGAAAGGTTTTATTTTTAATTATATAATTTTCTTGCCCAAGTTATATGGATTCATAGGTTACAGAATGTATAACAATATACATTTTTTGCATTTTTAAATTTACTGTATAATTTATTTCTGAAACCAAATTTGATATACAACTATGTAAACCATTAAATATGATCTGGATTAAAATAATCTTAACAGACAAATCCAAAAACACTGCATTTTATTATTTCTATTTCTAATGTTACCTCCAGGTTTAGACTCCCCTAAGTAATTGACTCTACCTATTATGTTTGTGTTTTGAAACATCACTCTATATTGTAACAAAAAGAAAAATGACACAATTAGTTTCCTATATGTACACAAAAATTTTCAGTTTTAAATAAGGAAATATAGTTTTGAAATTTAAAAAAGTAAATGTTATAATATTTTCTCAAATAATTTACTACTCATATTCCCATTGCTTAGTTTCATTAATTTTTACACTCACATTTTACATATCCAAGATATATTTCCAGCTTTATTTTCAGAATGAACTGCTAGGATCTTAGATGAGTTTATTATTTTGCACGAGGTGCCACTGCTTGACACCTGATTGTGTGTATACCCCCCCCTTTTTTTTTTATATACTTTTAAGTTTTAGGGTACATGTGCACAATGTGCAGGTTAGTTACATATGTATACATGTGCCATGCTGGTGTGCTGCACCCACTAACTCGTCATCTAGCATTAGGTATATCTCCGAGTGCTATCCCTCCCCCCTCCCCCCACCCCATAACAGTCCCCAGAGTGTGATGTTCCCCTTCCTGTGTCCATGTGTTCTCATTGTTCAATTCCCACCTATGAGTGAGAACATCCGGTGTTTGGTTTTTTGTCCTTGCGATAGTTTACTGAGAATGATGATTTCCAATTTCATCCATGTCCCTATAAAGGACATGAACTCATCATTTTTTATGGCTGCATAGTATTGCATGGTGTATATGTGCCACATTTTCTTAATCCAGTCTATCACTGTTGGACATTTGGATTGGTTCCAAGTCTTTGCTGCCCAAGGTAATTTATAGATCCAATGCCATCCCCATCAAGCTACCAATGACTTTCTTCACAGAATTGGAAATAACTACTTTAAAGTTCGTATGGAACCAAAAAAGAGCCCGCATTGCCAAGTCAATCCTAAGCCAAAAGAACAAAGCTGGAGGCATCACGCTACCTGACTTCAAACTATACTACAAGGCTACAGTAACCAAAACAGCACGGTACTGGTACCAAAACAGAGATATAGATCAATGGAACAGAACAGAGCCCTCAGAAATAACGCCGCATATCTACAACTATCTCATCTTTGACAAACCTGAGAAAAATAAGCAATGGGGAAAGGATTCCCTATTTAATAAATGGTGCTGGGAAAACTGGCTAGCCATATGGAGAAAGCTGAAACTGGATCCCTTCCTTACACCTTATACAAAAATTAATTCAAGATGGATTAAAGACTTAAACGTTAGACCTAAAACCATAAAAACCCTAGAAGAAAACCTACGCATTACCATTCAGGACACAGGCGTGGGCAAGGACTTCATGTCTAAAACACCAAAAGCAATGGCAACAAAAGCCAAAATTGACAAATGGGATCTAATTAAACTAAAGAGCTTCTGCACAGCAAAAGAAACTACCATCACAGTGAACAGGCAACCTACAGAATGGGAGAAAATTTTCGCAACCTACTCATCTGACAAAGGGCTAATATCCAGAATCTACAATGAACTCAAACAAATTTACAAGAAAAAAACAAACAACCCCATCAAAAAGTGGGCGAAGGACATGAACAGACACTTCGCAAAAGAAGACATTTATGCAGCCAAAAAACACATGAAAAAATGCTCACCATCACTGGCCATCAGAGAAATGCAAATCAAAACCACGATGAGATACCATCTCACACCAGTTAGAATGGCAATCATTAAAAAGCCAGGAAACAACAGGTGCTGGAGAGGATGTGGAGAAATAGGAACACTTTTATACTGTTGGTGGGACGGTAAACTAGTTCAACCATTGTCGAAGTCAGTGTGGCGATTCCTCAGGGATCTAGAACTAGAAATACCATTTGACCCAGCCATCCCATTACTGGGTATATACCCAAAGGATTATAAATCATGCTGCTATAAAGACACATGCACACGTATGTTTATTGCGGCACTATTCACAATACCCCATTCTTTAGACTTTTAAAATCAATACCCACTCTTCCCCACGAACAAGAGAAAGTAAAAACAACTAACAGTGGATTTCTGTATCACGATGACTCATTTTCAATAGAACACTACCATAGGTCAAATGGATGAATGCATAAATAATGAATGGATTAATATCTTTTACATAATCATGTGCCACATAACAACGTTTACATCAATAAGAGACAGCATGTAAAACAATGGCTCATTAAGATTATAATAGGGTTGAAAAATTGCTATCACCATTATAGATTGATCACTCTATGAAGTTTGCACAGTAAGATAATCACCTAGCCACACACTTCTCAGAACATATCCTCATTGCTAAGTGACACAAGGCTGTATTTCATTTAATGATTGCGTAAATAGTTGTTGAGAAAAATCTGCACTCTAAGTACCAGGATAAAAGAGATTAATAATAAATTAATGATTAAATGCACCATGATCAATCTTATCATTGAGGTCTATATGCTACATTTGGATTACATCGTAAAGGCAGAGGTTAATCATCGCAACTTACACAACAGGATACAGAGTGGATCAGCAGATAATTACATAATAGAATACAGTTTGAAACCTGCAAGATGCATTAGAATTAATTAGAATCAAACCATATGTGTGACTTTGGTTTAAATGTGCAAAACCTATTAATATAGATATAGCCAGGACATTTCTATTGTGTGTGTGTATATATATATATATATATATATATAGTGTGTGTATATATATATACACACACACACATATACATGTATATATACATACATACATATATATATTTTATATATATATATATATATATATATATATATTTTGTGTGTGTGTGTGTGTGTGTGTGATGGAGTTTCGCTCTTGCTGCCCAGGCTGGAGTGCAATGGCATGGTTTCAGCTCACTGCAACCTCCGCTTCCAAGGTTCAAGCAATTCTCCTGCCTCAGCCTCCCAAGTGGCTGGAATTACAGGGGCCAACCACCACACCAGGCATATCTTTGTATTTTTAGTAGAAACTGCTTTCACCATGTTGGCCAGGCTGGTCTCGAACTCCTGACCTCAAGTGATCTACCCCCTCGGCCTCCCAAAGTGCTGGGATTACAGGTGTGACTCACTGTACCCAGTTTGTCTTTATAAATCTTATAGAAATATTTAACTTTTAAAATCAACCACACACAATTAAGACTTTGATAAAAGTAATTAAGAAGTAAAGCAATGGAAAAAGCAATTTTTAAAAACATATATGAATGATTGAAAGCCAGGAGTAAAATTAAGAATTGTATTAAAATATCACTATTAAAATTAGCTACATAAATATTTAATTAATGCAGCTAAATTGTTAACAAAATTTACAGAAGAAAAGTATGTTAACATTACTGAATCATCTTAAAATCTTATTAAAATTTAAAGTTCTTCTCAACTGAAATTATATCACAGAAAAAAATAATGTCACCTTAAAAAGTTTAGGATTAGAAATACATAATTATTTTTAAATATAGTCTTTATATATTAATTATATTTCATTAATGTCTTATTTCTTGAATAAACTTTTTTCATGATACTATTTAAGTGCCACATTCTACAATAATATGGAAAACAATTCTACAAAATGTGGCATACAGTAATTGATAGGTAGTATAGCACACCTTTTATCTCTTTATAGCAAAAACATAATGTGTAAATTAATATAACACTAAGTCCCATATTGTCATTTTTTGTCAAAGAGCTATCTCCTTGAAAACCATCATCCTCAGATGCATCTCTAACTTCAAAAAGACCTTAGAAACTGTAACAATTGTAAATGCGTTATAACTTAAAGAGATATTATCTTCACATTAGAGGCTAACAGGCTTATACCTACTGATAGCTGACAAGTATTATAGGAATCCTGGCAGGCAAATTGTTGCATAAAAATTATGTAATTTACTAACTGTAAAATAACCTTTAGAGTTTAGAATCAGTCAGATAAGTAGAACAGACAATTGTTATCAAAGCCATATAAATGGCTATTAAAATTATTTTTTGCTACCCTCATTTTATCTCTGAAGAGACATCTTGTTAAAAAATGAATAACAGACACATATAAATACCTAATTACAAGCAGAGTTAAGATTAAAATTCAGCCTCATTAGGGGTGGGATAGAAATCAGTACACTAAAGAATATTTTGGTGCAGGTAGTTTGTTTCAAATGATTCAACCTTCAACATTACTTCACTTAAATTTTAGCAAACTTTCTGCTATAATTTAAGCATACAGACCTATGACACTAGACATATGTCCTGTGTAAGCCTGGGCTAGGGGAGCTCTATTTAATACTTACATAAACCCCAAAGATGTCCTAAGAAATAAAATTTGGAAAAACTTTGATGTGCTACAGCACGGATTTTCTCCTACAGCAACAGAGCAGACACTTGAATGTAGTTATACTCCTGCTTTCCACCTCCCTGTCAAAACAATAAAAAAGGCCACAGGCCTGTGGTTCTGGCCTCCAGGGAACTGGTGGCTTCTTTAACCCACACTGCTGCTGCTGAATCCCATTTAGGTTTAGGGTTTATTTTGTATATGCCTTTGTACAGGCTAAATGCTGGTCTAGTTGAAAATCAACCTAAAACAACCTTAATAGCATCTCATTTTATTGTGACTTTACTTTTTGTGTTGTTTGGTGTTTTACTTTTGGAGACAGAGTCTTAATCTGTCACCAAGGCTGGAGTGCAGTGGCATGATTATGGCTCAACCTCCAGGCTCAAGTGACCCTCCCACTTCAGCCACCTGAGTAGCTGATACCACAGGAACATGCCACCACATAAGGCTAACTTAAAGAACATTTTTTTAGATGGGATCTCACTATGTTGCCCAGGCTGATCTTGAGCTCTTTGCCCCAAGCAATCCTCCCACCTTGGCCTCCCAAAGTGCAGGGATTATAGGTGTGAGCCACTATGCCAGGCCTCTCTCATGACTTTAAACTTGAACATGCTTTTGTGCTGTGGCCGAGTTTAGGATCCCAACCAGCCTGTGATTACTGTGGTCACCACACAGATTCCCTCTTGTTCCATCTTTTATATTCCATCTTCTCACTCTCATAACTGTGTGGATAGGAAAACAATTATCCATACAGGTATGATATTGGCAGAGAAAATCACAAAATGTTTTAATGAGCAAACACTTTGGGGATGGTAATAATCTTTCTACCACCTTCATTGTCTTGTTTAAGTATCTCTACATTCTTCTTTAAAAATTAGGAATATATCTTTCTTGCTCTTTCGTTGTTGTTGAACACCAGAAGGGGATATTCCTTAATTCTCTCTCCATAGCTAAGGACAGTACAGCACAATATTCCATTCAGCAGGTGAAGTCAGTATGAATGAATGCATTTCAATCAGCAAATTGCTGGTTGTGTTGCAACTCCTAGTTATGATGTTTTGTGTACTTTGAAGGGCTCCCATTAATTAAGGTATTTCTTATAAGCATTCAGAAAGTTTCTTTTCTTGGCATGCGACTTGAAAATTTGTCCTGATATTTTCCCTGTGACAATGTTTTGTGAATTGTAACTCAGCCACTTAAGTGGCTCCTCATAATAAAGCCACATGGTATCCATGTACACATATTTAACAAATCAAAGAAGTGGTTCTCAACCTAATCTCTAGAGGAGGTCCTTCTTGTTCACTTTCAATAACTATGTTGAAGAATAGATTCTAAAAAGCTATCACCAAATTTTCGAATATGTTTTGAAATTTGTGTCCACAAAATCTATAAATCAATAAATGTATAGAATAGAGCATAATAATCCAATTAACAAATTTAAGATGTCATCTAAGCAGGAATGAATGCAATAAATAGGCCTTCTTACTTCAAAATCAACTGCAGAGGCAATGCATTGCCACTAGACTTGTGTGCTGTGTTGGTAATAAATTAACAAAAACTTTGGGGATAAGAAAAATCTGCAAATAAAATGGTGTGTCATTTGTGAAATATAATCACAAAAATGTTCAGATTGTTATAATTAACAGAAAAACTATTGTTTTTATTATATCCAGTGTTTAACAGACACTATTCATGTATACATACAACATTCTTATAATAACTCTTGTGTCCATGTAAATAGCAGTCTTGCCAAAAAGAATTGATTATCATGTAGTAGTTTGTAAGTATTTTCATGCATAGGCTGCAACCCTTTAGAGTGCTATTCTAATAAATTATTAATATTAACTTGATGAACACAATTCTAAGACATTTCATTTGAGGATATGTTTATTAACTATTAGGTTGGTACAAAAGGCATTGCGTTTTTTGCCATTACTTTCAATAAAAAATAGAACCAGCATTTAGAAATCTACTTTCAGAAACTTAATAAAATGAGAATTTGTCCTCTTTTACATATAGGAAGCCTGCATAATAAGCATTCTGTTGCTAGTACATAAGCTTCCCATTTTCATCAGGAAACTATACACTTACATTTCACTTTTACTAACTTCAATGCATGACTTCTATCTTCAAGGTGATTTCATGCTTCTAGCCACCATGTCTGTACTCCAGGACAGCAGCACAAAGTGTAGAAAAATAAAAAAGACATACCTCCCTAATGAGTCAACTGCACTTAAGGAGCCATCCCAGAAGTTTCACACGGCTTATTTGAATACAGCTATATCCAGATGCAAGGAATGCTGGGAAATGTGGTATTGTGCGCAGCTAAAGTTGGGATTATGTTAGTGAAAATGAGACCACGAACATTGGAAGGTTAAAAGCAATCTCTCATGACATATACAATTACAGAAATTAAATTAAATCTTTAAGCAATGTGATAAACCTATGGAATGTTAACAGGCAAAAATAGCAACATTAAAAATTACAGTGAGGGAATAAGGTATGATTCGTTTGTAGATGGTTTGTGTGTCATTAATCTAGGCAAAAAGTCATAAACTCCTCTAACAGTGACCACATGTATAAAAGAAATAATAATACACACTATGGCTAACAACATTCCATTTTGGCCTATTTACTGTTGTTAAGTCTCTATGGTTAGCATCAGAAATGTACAGTTTTGATAGCCTATGACCTCAACATGTTCAGTTTGATAGTAGAAAGGACAACATAAAGACAAACCAATCAACAAATAAGAATAAAAACTGTTAAAAAAAGGACAATATTATCATAAGAACATAAGGATGTGATAATGTATTTGACATATCGTTTATTTATTGTTTTATAGTTGGATAATACATATAAATTTACTGCTCCTTCAATGTTAGAATCAATAGAATCATAGCAGAAGTAATTAAGCAGATAAAGATCAAAACGTCACCTTTATTACTTACTGTTTGAAAAATAGTCTAAGGCTGGTTTTACAGGGTTGCTCCTATCCATCACCTGATGTGAAGTTTCTTAGGAAGCTTCAGGACTACACCAAAGAAGCAGAACCTGCTCTTTCACTCTGTTGCATTGTGTGGAGTGCAGGCCATCATGACTGCTCTCTACAAGAAAAAGAAAGGAAATAATTAAGAAACGCACAAAAGTTTGTGAATTGAGAATCCCAAAATAGGTATGAAATTGGTTAGCTTTCTAAATTCACCAATCTCATAACTAACACCTGTCCCCATGCAGTGAATGAGTAAAGGATGGACAGACTCCATAATGATTATTCTAGGGAAAGCCTTCTGAGTAGAAAGAGGAGAGTTTTGCAAACAGTTTTGTAGAGTTTACTCTTGTTTATGCACTGATAATAAATAAGAGTTCCTAAAATTCTCTCTAGAACTCTAGGTAAATGAGATATTTCACTGCTCATGCTGTGTGACCTTCATGTCCCATCTGCCTAGACTGTAAATATGCTTTCTGAAGTTTAAAAGAATTAGTATACTATGCTTACATTAAGCAAAAAAGTACCCTTATTGTGCAGGATCAAGTAACACTCTAAAGATTCATGTTTATGAAAAAACACTGATGATTCTATTTTATTATGTGTCTTCTAAAGAGAAAAATACTTGTGCTCTGCAGCATAATTTTACAATGTGCTATTCTAAATACTTTCATTTAAACAAGACCATTATGAAAATGTTTTGCACACAGAAATATATTTTGAATACTTTTTTAAAAAGATCACAAAGTATATGGTCTCTGTACGTGTTCAATTATTTTAATGCTTTCACTATAACAGGAATTCTTAAAGAGGATATGTACTTGCATAATGCTGATAATTCTTTCTCATTTCTGTTTGTGCTTTGGCTGTTGTTACAACCACTGAAAGTAGTAATTACATGAGTGTATTATCCATGATTATCTTTAGATATATGTGCATTTTCTTTAATTAAACTATAAACTCTAAATGAAAAATAAAAAAGAAGTCACCTCTTGTCTCTTTGTACAATATTAAAATTTTTTTCTTGTATCCAGAGTTTCCCAAATGCCTGTTGCAAAATTTTACTTAGGGAGTAGAAAGTGGAGAATCAATATGGTAAAAAAAACTGTGTTACAGGGAAGGAGACACAGGGTAAGCATTTTCCTTATCTTCTCTCCTGTATCTACGTGCTGCACAAGCATAAATGATAGCAGTCACATGAACGAGTACTTTTCAAGAACGTAGAATATGGTGATGGAAAAAAAAAACCGCTTTGAAACATCGAATAATATAAAAGCCAGAACTACTACAACTATTTTTTACATCCATAGAAGGTAAACTATTTTTAGATATAAAATTCCTTCTGACGGTAGTCCTGATCATTTAACCAATATTTTGATAAATCAAAGAAGGGAAAAATGGACATTCAGTCCAAAGATGGGCATGTATTCCCATGCCCAGTCAGGCAAAACTTGTGGATGTTCTTTAAAATAACAATTCATTCAACAAATAATTTTTAAATGGCTACTGAATACCTGGAAAGGTTCTAGACACAGGGGCTATAGTAAGAAACAAGAAGGAACTAATTGACAAGAATGTGCTCACCGACAATGAAACATCTCCTCATGGAGCTTGAGTTCTGTTTGAAAAGACAGAGAACAAAAAAATATTATTGCACAGAGTGTTAGTTATGTGTGAATTAAAAGACTGGTCAGTACTTGAAGGAGAAGGAGTGACAACAAATCTCACTTCCAGTTCTATTTACCTGAACAGATTAATTCTATTTTGTTTCAATGCAACAGTAGTCCTACGGTTAACAAGATGCACTACACAAAGCAAACAACTTATAAAACGCATTTTTTCCTTATATTGCAAATCAATTTTAAGTGGATCTACAAATATACAATAAATAATATAAATTACGGATCGTTTGTTTCTAAGGTAATAAGTACATTTGTTAATTTCACATAAATAATTTCAGAAGGAGAGCAAATGTAAAAATGTGTTTTAGACAGTGGAGATGCCATTTTATTGTAAGACTATTTATACTCAAAGGACAAAGTAATCAGCTTTCTATGTCAATGATCGTCCTTCTCTATTTCACCCAGTTCCAGACAAACCCAAGTCTTCCAAGTCTCTTCATATATCTGATCCAATAAAATCTATAATGAGTTCAGTTAGCATACACACACACACACACACACCACACACACACAAGCACACAAACACACACACATGACTGCATTGAAATACTTGCTCTAGGGAAGGAACATAGTGTATATGCAACTTGTGTACTTTCTAAGTATGGGAAGACTAATCCTTTAACAACTGCATTTACTTTCTTTCACTTCTATCGTTGCTATCTACTCCTCAGAAATCTACTTAAACAACCAATAAATATATATGATGTTGTTATGAGAGTTTTGGAAATAATTCCTAAAAATTTGCATGGTTGCCTCTTTATATTTGGCAGCTTCTATCACCCATGGGAACAACCCCTACAGAATGATCAGAATATAAAGCATGTGAGCCCTGGGTTTCTCAGGCACTGGAAGGACCTGTCAGAATCCTCTCAGGTGGGTCAAAATGGCCAGGCTTTATAACCTCATCTCCATTCGTGTTTGCATGTCCAGTGCTCCAGGATGACCTAACATTGAGCCAGACAATGGTTACAGCTGAGGCAAACTTTGAAGGAGCTGAGAGCTGAAGGCTGCTTTGTAATATTGCTCCTAGCAGCCAAGGGGGAAAGAAATCTTTTCTTGAAGAGCGATCTGTGTCCATAGCAAAATGTTTTTTTCTTAGCTCTTGTAAAATCGAAATTGTTTGCTTTTGAATTTTTTTAAATGATTCCTTTAAGATTCTTAATACCAAGATATCACAAGGTCAAGGAATTTTATAAAGAAGTATTTCTATTTATGTAATTTCCTAAATTTATCTATACACAAATCAGCACTAAAACATGCCTTTGATACTAACAACTTGATCGGTTTGTGAACCAAATCTGTCATGCAAATACATACGGCTGTTTTTAGATAAATTCTAAAGGTATTACCAAATCATTTAATTTTATTGTGTATCTCAATATTCTGGTTGATGTATAAGTTTAAATAGAACAAACTATTTGACATTGAAATGTTCTTTATCAAAGGAGAAGGAATACAATTTTAAAGCCACAACGAGTGACACATAGTTCTGAATGATTTATTGGCTGTCTGCCATTCTGAAATGGCTGCCAGTCAATGTTACATGTGACATCTTTCAGATAGTGTGAACTCTTTTATGCAAGCACCTTTCACTATAAAATTACAGCTGGAGATCATGAAGAGAAAAGTGTGGTGTTTATCTTAATGGGCTGAAAGACCTATTTCAACAGTTACAGTAATTCAGAAAAATAGTCTGAAGTCTAGTATTTCAATAATGTTATTTTCATAGATTTTAATCTCTAAAGACAATGCTTCACTTTTGTAGAAAATGACTTTTCTAATCATCCTGGATTTCAAAATTCTTTCCATTACTTAATATTTAAATCACTGGCAGAACTTGGCATGAGGACTAGAGAGCTGTCACCAAGCAGCCAGTCATTTTTCTTGGCTTCCCATATGCCATGCCCAGCAATAGAGCATTTCTTAGTAGCTGAGGAATAGCAGCAGTGCTAAACACAGAGATGACATTAACAGGAATGAGAGGGTCCAAGCTGTTTTCCTAGACTAATTCTCATTCAGCCTGAATTCAAAGCATTTTCCTATCATTATCATAGATATTTCGCTTGTGGTATTATCTATCTTTTGGCAATGTTGATTTTTTTCTGATTATCCAAATAAGTAATGTTAATGGAAAAAATCAGATATTAGGGGAAAAAAAACTCTAGAAATAAATGTTAACCCAAGACAATAACAATTCAATTAATTTATATGATACCTTAGGGATTGTGTCAATTATTTTTTAAATGAAATTCAAAAAATTCAACACCTGTGTTTTCTCCTATGATTACAAATTCAACCAGGGCACAATTGTAAATGGTTGTATTTGGTTGAATTTTTAGATTGTTTATAAGTTTTACTCTTGCAGACAATAATAATGGAGTTTCTTTGAAAATAAATTTAGTTGTTCTATAACCAAGGCATAAATATTCAATTCAATAAAATTAGCAAAAATATTAAATGAAAAGTATATTATATATAAAATGCATAAATAAAATATCCTGCACTGATCATTTTATGTCTATGGTTACCCTATTGATTCTGTGCACATTTGCATATGGGTATATATGCAATTTTATACAATGAAGTATTAATAGTGTACATAAATTTAGTAATTATTTTACCCCTTAAAAGTATATGCAATGAGTGTCACTTATATATAAATTCTGTTAACGTGGAAGAAGAATGTTAGTCAAAAAAACTACGAATTTAACAATTTTCTGGTTAATTCAAAGGGCTTTCCAAAAATGTCTTTTAAAATTCAATTTCATTTATTTTCTCATAGCAGAATATGAGAATGAATCTTTTTTGCTGCAAATTGGCTAGCAATAAATTTTTATTTTTATTATTTTAATTCTGTGAATTTCGGGAATGGAGTCTCATTCAGTATAAATATTATAATACTAATGAGATTGACTCCCTCCTTCTTATTAACAGTGTGCATTTTTACCCTCCGTGATTCAGTGCATGGTGTAGTGCTATAATTAAAAATGAACATTTTTTTTAAATTTTATTATTATTATATTTCAAGTTTTAGGGTACATGTGCACAATGTGCAGGTTAGTTACATATGTATACATGTGCCATGCTGGTGTGCTGCACCCATTAACTCGTCATTTAGCATTAGATATATCTCCTAATGCTTTCCCTCCCCCCTTCCCCCACCCCACAACAGTCCCCAGCGTGTGGTGTTCCCCTTCCTGTGTCCATGTGTTCTCATTGTTCAATTCCCACCTATGAGTGAGAACATGCGGTCTTAGGGTTTTTGTCCTTGCGATAGTTTACTGAGAATGATGATTTCCAATTTCATCCATGTCCCTACAAAGGACATGAACTCATCATTTTTTATGGCTGCACAGTATTCCATGGTGCATATGTGCCACATTTTCTTAATCCAGTCTATCATTGTTGGACATTTGGGTCAGTTCCAAGTCTTTGCTATTGTGAATAGTGCCGCAATAAACATACGTGTGCATGTGTCTTTATAGCAGCATGATTTATAGTCCTTTGGGTATATACCCAGTAATGGGATGGCTGGGTCAAATGGTATTTCTAGTTCTAGATCCCTGAGGAATCGCCACACTGACTTCCACAATGGTTGAACTAGTTTACAGTCCCACCAACAGTGGAAAAGTGTTCCTATTTCTCCACATCTTCTGCAGCACCTGTTGTTTCCTGACGTTTTAATGATTGCCATTCTAACTGGTGTGAGATGGTATCTCACTGTGGTTTTGATTTGTCCTCTCTCACCACTCCTATTCAACATAGTGTTGGAAGTTCTGGCCAGGGCAATTAGGCAGGAGAAGGAAAGAAAGGGTATTCAATTAGGAAAAGAGGAAGTCAAATTGTCCCTGTTTGCAGATGACACGATTGTATATCTAGAAAACCCCATTGTCTCAGCCCAAAATCTCCTTAAGCTGATGAGCAACTTCAGCAAAGTCTCAGGTTACAAAATCAATGTACAAAAATCACACGCATTTGTATACACCAATAACAGACAGTCAGAGAGCCAAATCATGAGTGAACTCCCATTCACAATTGCTTCAAAGAGAATAAAATACCTAGGAATCCAACTTACAAGGGATGGGAAGGACCTCTTCAAGAAGAACTACAAACCACTGCTCAATGAAATAAAAGAGGATACAAAGAAATAGAAGAACATTCCATGCTCATGGGTAGGAAGAATCAATATCGTGAAAATGGCCATACTGCCCAAGGTAATTTATAGATTCAATGCCATCCCCATCAAGCTACCAATGACTTTCTTCACAGAATTGGAAATAACTACTTTAAAGTTCGTATGGAACCAAAAAAGAGCCCGCGTTGCCAAGTCAATCCTAAGCCAAACGAACAAAGCTGGAGGCATCACGCTACCTGACTTCAAACTATACTACAAGGCTACAGTAACCAAAACAGCACGGTACTGGTACCAAAACAGAGATATAGATCAATGGAACAGAACAGAGCCCTCAGAAATAACGCCGCATATCTACAACTATCTCATCTTTGACAAACCTGAGAAAAATAAGCAATGGGGAAAGGATTCCCTATTTAATAAATGGTGCTGGGAAAACTGGCTAGCCATATGGAGAAAGCTGAAACTGGATCCCTTCCTTACACCTTATACAAAAATTAATTCAAGATGGATTAAAGACTTAAACGTTAGACCTAAAACCATAAAAACCCTAGAAGAAAACCTACGCATTACCATTCAGGACACAGGCGTGGGCAAGGACTTCATGTCTAAAACACCAAAAGCAATGGCAACAAAAGCCAAAATTGACAAATGGGATCTAATTAAACTAAAGAGCTTCTGCACAGCAAAAGAAACTACCATCACAGTGAACAGGCAGCCTACAGAATGGGAGAAAATTTTCACAATCTACTCATCTGACAAAGGGCTAATATCCAGAATCTACAATGAACTCAAACAAATTTACAAGAAAAAAACAAACAACCCCATCAAAAAGTGGGCGAAGGACATGAACAGACACTTCTCAAAAGAAGATATTTATGCAGCCAAAAAACACATGAAGAAATGCTCACCATCACTGGCCATCAGAGAAAAATGAACATTTCAAAGATGTGCTTCCAAATGCCAAATCATCACTAAAAAGCTCTGTGGCATAGAGGAAATTTCACAACCTTTTAGTGCCTCAATTTTGTGGAAGAATGGTTAGGAGGCTATTGCAATAACAAAAGAAAATTTGAATAGCTGTATCCAACATGAAAAGATTGCTAGTAGAATTAAATGAGTTACTATAGGTAAAACAATCAGGGAAGTAATTAAAGAGAATCTGCACTAACATTGTTTTATTAATTTAAAATATCTGTACACAATCCTTTGACTCATTTGGAATTAGTTTTAGTGTATTTTAGAAAATAAGGTTTATTTTTTATTTTCTCCCAAAACAATTCTTCAAGACAACTTTTCGAACAGTAAATTCCTTCTTTGTTTATAATATGTATTTTAATAAAGTCACTTATCTTCATGATTTCTAGGACATCGGTTCTATCTAATCTATTGTTCAGCATTCGTCTGAGTATTTTCTGAGCAGCAATTAACCCCTCTGTACCTCTGAGTGCCCACATTTCCTTGATCCATTTCACCTTGCTGATCAATCCTTCTTTACTCATAGTCTAAATTTTTTTTTTAGAACTTCTGAGAGTGCCTCAAACCTTGGTCTTGGGTCTTCCTTCAATCTTATTTGTCTTTCCACCTGATCTTAATTATTTACATCACATTATACCCTATCTTTATGGTGACAAATCTCAAAATTATCTCTCTGACCTAAACTTATCATTAAAGATTTGGTTGCAACTTATTAAGAAGTCAGGTTCAATGTAATACATGCATTGTTGATTTAATATGCTCATCAAAATACTTAAAATTTTATTTGAATGCAAAAAAATAAAGCTTTTAATTTTATCTCCTATTTAATAATTTTGACAAAAACATTATACCAATCATTACTAATTATTGCTGGCTTTTAAAATATTATCTGATTAAATATTTTTGACTTGGAAAAATGGTAACAAATGCTTCTCTCTTTCTTGTCCCCTTGAACCATACTTGATATATTGCTTTTTCCAAATCCGGGCCACAAGTTCAGAATATAGCCTGTTAAAATATCTTCTATGTATAAACTATCTTTAAATTTTCTTGAGAGAATACTGAGTAACCAAAAGCATTGCTCCTTCACCCTACAAAAGAGAGAAAAATTAAAAAATCACATTAATTTGTAATTTTAAATGGTAATTAAAGCTATTGTGAGGGCTCTTTTATCGGCCAAACTTGTGAACAAAAAACAGCTCAAATTTATGTGTAAATAAAATATATTGAGATGAAGCCTTTCATTCAATGTGTGATTTTCAGTTCAAAAAAACACACTGATGTTCAAGAACAAAGACTGGTACAATAACTATCTACAAAATGCTTTTGTTACTAGATTTTAATTCCTTCATCAAACAGACACAGTCAAAGTTGATAGTGTCACTAGATCTAGAGGTCTATCAATATCCTTCCCACCATTTAATATGTTCTTAATCTCAGGGAAATTCTAAATCATATTCTTCTAAATTGTACAGTTGACTCCTGAAAAACACAAGGTTTAGGGCCATCAAACCTCCCTAACCCCTCCCCACCACCCCAGCACAGTCAAAAATTCACATATAACTTTGGACTCCCCAAAACTAAACTAACAGCCTACTGTTGACTGGACAATCCTTAACACATATTTCATACGCTGTATGTATTTTACACCGTAGTTTTACAATGAAGCTAGTTACAGAAAAGAAAGTGTTATTAAGAAAATTATAGGGAAGAAAAAATACGTTTACAGTACTACAGTATATTTATTTCTCTCATAAGTTTACAATCCTGTGTTTACAAGATGGATCCTTCTTCTGAAATGGCAGCACACACAGCTGCAGGCCTCAATCTAGGGTACCTATCAAGCAATTCATTGTTTTCCTGTAATGTCAGGACCCTTCTCTGTTTCCTGGAAGAACTTTCAGCATCACTAGCAGCACTTTTTATAGGTCTGAAGGTGTTATTCAAGGTTTATGGTATTGCACTAGACATCATGAATAATACAGGAGAAACATGAGAGAACACTTTTTACTGTGTTAATTTACTGGAGAGACAAGCTACTCACAAGAAGATGATTAGCATTATGTGGCATTTTAAGTGAATACTCACAACACTTGAGTTCACTGCAAGAACAACAGGTGGAGGCTAGGAAATTATCCCAGTAGTACAGTATGTACTACAGTTAATTTTGTGCAGTTATGATTTACTTTTGTATATTTTTGTTTTACTTTTCTCTAAACTTCAATTGGCTGCATGTATGCTCTGTGTTTGCCTACGTCTTGATAAATTTTAACTTTTTATAATAGACGCATATATATCTCATTGTATTAAATGATCACTAGTATCTACATATGATTTATGCATTCATGACATCGTTTTCTTAGTTTTTTAATATTTCTTGTGTAGATGGGTCACCTGTTATCTTTTTCAATTTTTCATAAATCTCCAAAAATTTTCTAATATATTTATAGGAAAAAATCTACATATGAGCAGACCTGCACAGTTCAAACCTGTGTTGTTGAGGAGTCAACTATATATTATAATTTAAGAGAGGATTCAACTCTTTCATTCTACTGGCAATGGGTTAACATAAACTTTAGTCAGAACTGCTGAGCTTTTCTGGCACAATGAGGACAAATTGACCAATGTATTTAACCAATAGCTGGAGGAAAATTTTGCTAAAATTGGTAAGTATATCTTTATATAACTATATCCTTACAACTTGTCTCAACCTTCGTCAGATTAATCCTAACAAAACTGTAAAATGTCTCAGTAAAAATCTAAATGAATTTTTCATAACAAGTGCTGGCAATAGATTTTAAATATGTTCTGATCATTATTTGTCTCTTGTTGGCATGGAGAAAATCCTTTTTTTTTTTTTCAGCCTGGGGAATCCCAAACTATATCTCTAGTAACAAGGAAACCATTTTACCGGAATTTTTATTAACATGGAAAAGTTCTGTCAATTAATCAGACTTCACTGTCCATATCACTTTCAACCTTTTGGGAAGGTAGAAAGATGGAATTCTGAAACTAAAGTTGGTAAAGTTCACAGACATCGTCAAACTTGCATGGTCTAAGGTATTTCTTCTTTCTGTGGTTCATGAGTTAGTAACAGCTAAACCAAGTGTCTAGGAATATTAGCTCTGATTCTAGAAATCTACACTTATTTAACTAAATGCTGTAAGGACTCAGGAAATCCATTCTTTCAACAAAAGTTACTGAAGACTTTCCCCATTAGTATCCTAAACAATGTCTGCAAAATTGGTTTTCATACCTGGATACCTTGTCTTCTAAGAGACACGGCAGGGAAAGATCATAGGAAAAAAGTCACTATCAGGCACAGCTAACAACTAGCAAACCCATAGTCTTTAAAAGACTGATCCTTTGATTCCTATCTCTCAAGTAAAGAGGTTTAGGTCATCTTCATATTACAGGAAAGTATCCCTACCAAAAACTTCTAACTAATGACTCTTAGGATTCTTCCAAAAGCAAATAGTCTTTGGGAGAAGACAGCTTCCATCAAATGCCTTTGGATCAAGTGAATCACTATATGAGATATCGGTATCTGCAAACCAAGATCCACAAAAAAAGATCCATTGTTTGTCATATTTAATCTGTATATCTTGAGTTTTCATTTTCCTAGTTAACTTTATCTTTTTATGCTTAAGGTTACATTTAATTACTTTACCTATAAAGCTACTATTCCTAATTCCTCTATGCCGTCCTTAGTCACTCTCTAGAAGAGTCCGGAAGCTGGCCGTAATTTGTTCACAATTTGGCTAAACATGCAGTTGAATCAGTGCTAAGCTGCACACATTTTCCTTAGGATGCCAATTAGAGTTTTTTTTTTTAACATCGATTCCTAAATATGAAACATCTGGGTTTATCAATAATTGGACTCACTATTTATTGTTATTTTATCTGACAAACAGCAGAGTATTAGATAAATAGAAATCTTAAATCCTAACATGCTGCACCCAGGAAAGAAAGCTTATGCCTACAGCAGAACAGCACTTAGGGATCTTTAATAGAATGCAACTTCTGTCACTAAACCTTTAGAAAGAAATGTCTTAAAAAGAAGAGAACAAATGGCACATACTTAATTCATTTCTCACATTTACATATCATAAAAAATTCTTATTACATATTCAAGCTCCTATCACATCTACCTCTTCCTCTATGTGATAAGGTCTTCATTTTATATCCCCAAAAGTGATTAATAGCAGAATGGAGCTGAAAGCAATCAATAAACTCAATCAACCTTAATGACTGCTACTGGATTTGTGGTACCAGAACCTATTGATTATTACAGCAATCTTGACATAAACTAACATACTGATGTGGTAGTCAGAATAATGGCTCTTCAGAGATGATGCGGTCCTAATCCAGATAATTTATAAATTTGTTAGCTTACCTGGCAGGACAGACTTTGCAAATGCAATTAGAGTTAAGGATTTTGAAATGGAGAGACTATCATAGATTTTTAGATGGCCAAATGCAATCATAAGATTCTTTACACGTAGAAGAGGGAGATATAAAAGGAGAATGTGAAGACTTGCTCCTTCATTTGTAGCTTTGAAGGTCAAGGAAAGGAACTGTTATGAACTGAATATTTGTGTCTCCCTAAAATTAATCTATTGAAGATGATTGGCATTGTTCAAATATTAATAGATTATTTTCAATGATCTATTAATTGGCAGTGTGATAGTATCTGGAGATGGAGCTTTTGGGAGGAACCTAGGTTGAGATAATGTCCTAAGTGTGGTGTTCTCATGATAATGTTAGTGTTCTTATAAGAAAAGGTGGAGATACTAGACCACCTCCCACCCAACCACCCTTCTCTTTCTCTCTCCGTAAACATGTATCCAGGAAAGGCCATGTGAACACAGAGAGAAGGAGGCCATCTACTAACCAGAGAGGGAGTGGGCCCTCACCATGAACCAAATATACCAGCACCTTAATCTTGGACTTCCCAACTTTCAGAACTCTGAGAAATAAATGTCAGTTGTTTAAGTCACCCGGTCTATGGTATTTTCTTACAGTATTCCAAGCTGCCCAAGACAGGGAACATGCATCAAAGAATGCAGCTGGATTCTAAAGCCTGGGAAAGGCCAGGTCATGGATTATTCCACAGAGCCTATAGAAGGAATGCAGTCTTCCAATGCTTTGATTTTAAATCAGTAAGACCTGTGTTGAACTTCTAACCTGGAATACTGCTAGACAATAAATTTATGTTGTTTTAAACTACTAAGTGTATTGTGATTTTTATAACAGCCACAGGAAAATAATACATTTGGCAAATCAGTGCATGTTTCATGATGGTCAATGATATGCCCCAGGGTCCATCTTAGCCATGATTTCTATCCCTTCAAAAACCAAAACAAAATAAAAAAGTAAAACAAAAAGACCAATTTTACTATACTACTTGATTTTTAACAATATTTTATATGTATTTAATCCAGTATATCCAAAATATTGTCATCTCAGCATAAAACAATATTAAAATTATTCAGTTTTACATTTTTTAAACTAAATCTAGTTTGTATTTTACATATAGCATAAATCAATTCAAATCCACCATATTTCAAGTGTTCAATATCTACATGTCACTAGTAATGACTATAGTGGACAGAATTGATCCAGATTTCCAGGTGTATTGCTATAAAACTAACCATATTTTTATCTTATTAAAACAAAACAAAACTCCTCCATAACTATGTCTATGTTCCTTTTGCTTTTATTAACATTGAACATATTCTTGTTTTTAATCTAATTTTGTCTGTATTTAGGTCTATTTTTTGGTGGTGTTATTTCTTGTATGCTTGGCATCAACTTTTTTTTCAATTTCTTAGACTATCTAAACTATTATGCTCTGAGTTTAGCTCAATTTCAATCAGCTACTCACTTTGAAAGACTCATTTAACTCTCTTAAGCCATTCTCCACAAACATGAAAAATCTTCCTCTCACTCTTCCCTGCTGAAACACTGCAAAAGTATGTCAAAATGGTGTACTTTCTTGGCACAGGGTTTCAATAAACTTAGTTTTGCTTTAATAACAAATTATCTGAATATATTTCAGGGAGTTCCACTGGTAAAAGCATAAAATCATGTTAGTTCAGGTCATCTTTTGTAAAGTTATGACAGTGCCATAGTATCAATTCTTGTCAAAATTTATGACTTCAAAATCAACTTAATATGCATCAACATAGATATTTTTTAGTTAATTCTAGACTCCAGGTGCTCATTTAAATAATATGGGTACATAAGACTGAACAAAACCAGTTGCTATTGAATGTACATTTTAGAGAAATACTTCATACACAGCTCTGTTTTGTTAAATAAGGAACTTGATGACATAATCAATATCACGGCAGCATACAACTGTTTGGTTAGTATGTCTCTTTAAACAAGCACATACGCTCATTCATGGAGTGTGTATTTGTATCTGTGTATGGTCTGTGTGGTGAAGCAGCAAGCAACAGTTGGATGTCTTAATTATCTAACAGGAAAAAACACCTAAATAATCAGAAGAAATTTTGATTTATTTATTAGTTCGACTGAGCTTTTCTCTTGAATGTAACACAGATGGTCCCAGATTTACAATGGTACAACTTTACAGCTTCATCATGGTACAAAAGTGATAAACATTCAGTAGAAACAATGCTTTTATTACCCATATACCCATTCCGTTTTTCACATTCAGTATTTAATAATTTACATGTGATATTCAACACTTTATTTAAAAATAGGCTTTAGGTTAGATTTTTTTTTTGGACTGGCTAATGTAAGTGTTCTGAGCACATTTCTTAAGTGTATTTTTTTTTAATACTTTAAGTTCTAGGGCACATGTGCACAACTTGCAGGTTTGTTACATATGTATACATGTGCCATGTTGGTTTGCTGCACCCATTAACTCATTAACTACATTAGGTATTTCTCCTAATGCTATCCCTACCCATCCCCCCACCCCACAATAGGCCCCAGCATGTGATGTTACCCACTCTGTGTCCAAGTGTTCTCGTTGTTCAATTCCCACCTATGAGTGAGAACACACGGTGTTTGGTTCTCCGTCCTTGCGAAGGTTTGCTCAGAATGATGGTTTCCAGCTTCATCCACGTCACTACAAAGGACATGAACTCATCATTTTTTATGCCAGCATAGTATTCCATGGTGTATGTATGCCACATTTTCTTAATCCAGTCTATCATTGATGGACATTTCGGTTGGTTCCAAGTCTTTGCTATTGTGAAGAGTGCCGCAATAAACATACATGTGCATGTGTCTTTATAGCAGCATGATTTATAATGCTTTGGGTATATACCCAGTAATGGGATCACTGGGTCACATGGTATTTCTAGTTCTAGATACTTGAGGAATTGCCACACTGACTTCCACAATGGTTGAACTAGTTTACACTCCCACAAACAGTGTAAAAGCATTCCTATTTCTCCACATCCTCTCCAGCACCTGTTGTTTCCCGACTTTTTAATGATCGCCATTCTAACTGGTGTGAGATGCTATCTCATTGTGGTTTTGATTTGCATTTCTCTGATGACCAGTAATGATGAGCATTTTTTCATGTGTCTGTTGGCTGCATAAATGTCTTCTTTTGAAAAGTGTCTGTTCATATCCTTTGTCCACTTTTTGATGGCTTTGTTTTTTTCTTGTAAATTGGTTTAAGTTCTTTGTAGATTCTGGATATTAGCTATTTGTCAAATGGGTAGATTGGAAAAATTTTCTCCCATTCTGTAGGTTGCCTGTTCGCTCTGATGGTAGTTTCTTTTGCTGTGCAGAAGCTCTTTAGTTTAATTAGACCCCATTTGTCTATTTTGGCTTTTGTTGCCATTGCTTTTGGTGTTTTACACATGAAGTCCTTGCCCATGCCTATGTCCTGAATGGTATTGCCTAGGTTTTCTTCTAGGGTTTTTATGGTTTTAGGTCTAACATTTAAGTCTTTAATCCATCTTGAATTAATTTTTCTATAAGGTGAAGGAAGGGATCCAGTTTCAGCTTTCTACATATGGCTAGCCAGTACCATTTATTAAATAGGGAATCCTTTTCCCATTTCTTGTTTTTGTCAGGTTTGTCAAACATCAGATGGTTGTAAATGTTTAGCGTTATTTCTGAGGCCTCTGTTCCATTCCATTGGTCTATATCTCTGTTTTGGTACCAGTAAAATGCTGTTTTTGTTACTGTAGCCTTGTAGTATAGTTTGAAGTCAGGTAGCGTGATGCCTCCAGCTTTGTTCTTTTTGCTTAGGATTGTCTTGGCAATATGGGCTCTTTTTTTGATTCCATATGAACTTTAGTTTTTTCCAATTCTGTGAAGAAAGTCATTGGTAGCTTGATGGGGATGGCATTGAATCTATAAATTACCTTGGGCAGTATGGCCATTTTCACGATATTGATTCTTCCTACCCATGAGCATGGAATGTTCTTCCATTTGTTTGTGTCCTCTTGTATTTCGTTGAGCAGTGGTTTGTAGTTTTCCTTAAAGAGGTCCTTCACATCCCTTGTAAGTTGGATTCCTAGGTATTTTATTCTCTTTGTAGCAACTGTGAATGGGAGTTCACTCATGATTTGGCTCTCTGATTGTCTGTTATTGGTGTATACAAATGCATGTGATTTTTGCACACTGATTTTGTAACCTGAGACTTTGCTGAAGTTGCTCATCAGCTTAAGGAGATTTTGGGCTGAGATGATGGGGTTTTCTAAATATACAATCATATCACCTGCAAACAGGGACAATTTGACTTCCTCTTTTCCTAATAGAATGCCCTTTATTTCTTTCTCTTGCCTGACTGCCCTGGCCAGAACTTCCAACACTATGTTGAATAGGAGTGGTGAGAGAGGGCATCACTGTCTTCTGCTAGTTTTCAAAGGGAAAGCTTCCAGTTTTTGCCCATTCAGTATGATACTGGCTGCGGGTTTGTCATATATAGCTCTTATTATTTTGAGATATGTTCCATCAATACCTAGTTCATTGAGAGTTTTCAGCATGAAGGGCTATTGAATTTTGTCAAAGACCTTTTCCGCATCTATTGAGATAATCTTGTGGTTTTTGTCTTTGGTTCTCTTTATGTGATGGATTACATCTATTGACTTGCGTATGTTGAACCAGTCTTGCATCCCACGGATGAAGCCAACTTGATCTTGGTGGATAAGCTTTTTGATGTGCTGCTGGACTCGGTTTGCCAGTATTTTTGTTAAATGTACTAAATGCATTTTTTACCTAAAATATTTTCAACTTATGAGTATATCCAGATCCATCATAACACATCTTGGCCTGTGGTTATCAGGATGTAACTCATTATAAGTCGAGGTAGATTTGTATTATATCCCATGTACACACACACACACACACACACACACACACACACACACACACACAGACTTAATCTGTTTACAGAAATAAAAGGAATAAAATACCGTTTCTATTATACACCAAAACTAGCCATCTTGACAGATACTTCACTCTGAAAAATAACGTTTTATAGCTACTTTACAGATTAGTATAATAATTTGGTGTTTCTGTTTCAGAGATTCGATTTCACATTTCAATAAGTAGGCCGCTCCCTCTGCTAAGCCTGGGAATGTAATTCTTTTGAAAAACTATCTGTGCTGTAAAATTACATGTCATATTGGGAAAAGGACAATCGCAAACAGTAGTCACACATAAAATCAAGCAACACAGACATCCTTTTCACATACAGTGAAGACCCTTGTCAATTTTGAGATTACACAGGAAAACAGAATGGGGGACAAGTGTCTCTGACACATAGAAAATCCCGTGAAGAAGAACTCAGCTGACACAATCAAAACATACACAAAACTGAAAGAAACAAGGTGAGTGCTTTTTATATTAGTTCAGCTGTCAAGAAAGTGTAAAATAAACCTAACATTTTTTTACTAAGTGAGGATTTTCTTTTTTGAAACATCATCATTTATATTTATCCAGTTTGCAACTTCATCAGCTGAATCTCAGGATGTGTTCCATGACACTGAAGGACAATTAAATCATATCCATGACAATATATGAGAAGCTGACAGGAGAACATGGTGGCATTTGAATTAATGTCTATCATTAGATAGAATTTCTGATCACATAATTTAAGTTGTAGTTTTCCATACAATTTAATCAAGATAAGCACTTATTAGGTGAGTGATATACTTTGGCTCTGTGTCCCCACACAAATCTCATGTTGAATCGTAATCCCCACGTGTCAGGGGAGGGGTCTGGTAGGAGGTGATTTGATCATGGGGGTGGATTTCCCATACTGTTCTCGTGACAGTCAGTGAGTTCTCACAAGATCTGATGGTTTAAAAGTGTGTGGAACTTCCCCCCGGCTCTTCTCTCTACTGACACCATGTGAAGAAGGCACCTGCTCCCCCTTTACCTTCTGCCATGATTGTTAGTTTCCTGAGGCCTCCCAGTCGTGCTTCCTGTTAAGCTTGCAGAACTGTGAGTCAATTAAACCTCTTTTCCTCATAAATTACCCAGTAGTTCTTTATAGCAGTTTGAGAAGAGATAGATACAGAAAATTGGTACCAGAGAAGTGGGGCATTGCTATAAAAATACCTGAAAATATGGAAGTAACTTTGGAACTGGGTAACAGGCAGAGGTAGGAAACAGTTTGGAGGACTCAGAAGAAGACAGGGAGATATGGGAAAGTTTAAATCTTCCTAGAGACCTGTTGAATGGTTGTGAACAAAATGCTGATAATGATTTGGATAACGAAGTCCAGGCTGAGGGGGTCTCAGATGGAGATGAGGAACTCATTGAGAACTGAAGAAAAAGTTACTCTTGCTATGCTTTAGCAAAGAGACTGACAGCCTTTTGACCCGGCCCTAGAGATCTGTGTAATGTTGAACTTCAGAGAGATGATTTAGGGTATCTGGTGAAACAAATTTCTAAGCAACAGACCTTCCAACATGTGGCCTGGCTGCTTCTAAAAGTTTATGCTCATGTCCATGAAGAAAGAGATGGCTTGAAACTGAAACGTATATTTAAAAGGAAAGCAGAGCATAAAAGTTTGGAAAATTTGCAGCCTAACCATATAGTAAAAAAGAAAAACCCACGCTCTTGGGAGAAATTCAAGCAAAAATTTGCATAAGTAAAGAGGAGCCAAATGTTAATGGCAAAGACAATGTGGAATACGTCTCCAGTACATTTCAGAGACCTTTGAGGCAGCCCCTCCCATTATAAGCCTGGAGGCCTAGGAGGGAGAAATTGTTTAGTGGGATGGGCCCAGGGCCCTGCTGCTCTGGGCAGCCTCGGGACATGGTGCCCAGTGTTCCAGCTGCTCAGCTCCAACTGTGGCTAAAAGGGTCCAAGGCACTACTCAGGCCATTGCTTCAGAGAATACAAGCCTCAAGCTTTGGTGGCTTCCACATGAGGCTGGGCCTGTGGTTGTGCAGAAGGGAAGAGGTGAGGTTTGGGAACCTCCATCTAGATTTCAGAGGATGTATGGAAATGCCTGGATGTCTAAGCAAAAGTCTGCTGCAGAAGTGGAGCCCTTATGGAGAACCTCTACTAGGGCAGTGCAGAGGGAAAATGTGGGGTTGGAGCCCCCACACAGATTCCCCACTGGGGCACTCCCTACTGGAGCTTTGAGAAGAGGGTCATAGTGCTTCAGACCCCAGAATGGTAGATCCACTGACAGCTTGCACAGTGTGCCTGGAAAAGTCACAGGCACTCAATCCTAGCCTGTGAAAGCAGCTGTGGGGGCTGTGCCTTGCAGAGCCACAGAGGCAGAGCTGTCAAAGCTCATGGGAGCCCAGATATTGCATCAGTATGCTCTGGACGTGAGAGATGAGGTCAAAGAAGATTGTTTCAGAGCCTTAAGATTTAATGACTGCCTTGTCGGGTTTTGGACTTGCATGGGGCCTGCAGACCCTTTGTTTTGGCTAATTTCTCCCTTATGGAATTGGAGTGTTTACCTGATCCCTGTACCCCCACTGTTGTCTTGAAATTAACTAACTTGTTTTTGATTTTACAGGCTTATAGGCAGAAGCGATTTGCCTTGTCTCAGATGAAACTTTGGACATGGACTTTTGAGTTAATGCTGGAATAAGTTAAGACTTCCAGTCTGTTGGGAAGGCATGATTGGTTTTGAAATGTGAGAAGGACATGATACTTGGGAGGGGCCAGAGGAGAAATAATATGGCTTGGCCCTCTGTCCCCACCCAAATCTCATCTCAAATTGTAATCCCCTCATGTCAAGAGAGGGGCCTGGGTGGAGGTGACTGGATCATGGGAGCAGATTTCCACATGCTATTCTCATGATAGTGAGTGAGTTCCAAGAGATCTGATGGTTTAAAAGTGTGTGGCACTTCCCTCCTTGTGCTCTCTCTCTCCTGGTGCCATGTCAAGAAGAACCTTGTTTCCCCTTTGCCTTCCACCATGATTTTCTGAGTTTCCTGAGTCCTCCCATTCATGCTTCCTGTAAAGCCTGAAGAACTATGAATCAATTAAATCTCTTTTCTTCATAAATTACTCAGTCTCAAGTCATTCTTTATATCATTGTGAAAACTGACTACTACGGTTAGCAATCTTAAAGAATACTTGTGATTTTGAGAATCAGGCACATATTTTTTTAATAATCGGACTGCTTACAATTGTTTAACTCCTTGCAACTTATAGTTAGTGCCTAAAACTTTGATGACTTTCATTACATTTCAATGGCTCTGTTCCCTTATAGCAAACTACCTTTTTTACTGTACTTACTGTAACTACAGTGCATTTATTTTCAGCCCAAATAGTATTCAGTAATAAGCATTTCTTCCCACATAAGAATAAGTTATATTCCTATTCACTATATTCTAGAATTTCTATTTTCCTTCCACAGTGCCAGCTAAAATTAAAGTGGAATAATCTATTGGGGCCCTGTGTATTTAATGTTTGTTTTCTTAGTATATTATAAACACTGTGAAGGAAGGAAATCCTTGCCTCTTGTTTATACTTTTATCTCCATTATAGAAACACTCTGCATTATTTTCTTACTGCTGCTGTAGCCAATTACTACAAAGTTAGTGGTTTAAAATAGCACAAATATAGTGTCAAACAATTGTGTTTGTCAGATGTCTGCAATGCATCTTATGAGGCTAAAATCAAAGAGTGAGAACTGTTGTGTTCCTTTCTGAAGGTTTTAGGGGAAAATCAGTTTCCTTGACTTTTCCAGCCTCCAGAGGCTGTCCTGATTTGTTAGCTTATGGTCTTTCATTTGTTCAAACCAGAAATGCTGTGTCTCTCTGACCATTCTTTTGAAATCATACCACCTTATGTTTCTAGCCAAGAATGTTTCCCTAGTTTAAACCCATTTGATTACACTGAACTCAAAAGGACACTTTTTCATCTTACCATCCTTAACATTATAATACTTGCAAAGCCCCTTTTACCAGATAGTTAACATATTCACAGCTTCCAGAAATCAGGACATGCGGTTTTTTTTTTGTTGGTTTGTTTGTTTTGTAAACCATTATTTTGCTTACTATACTGTCTTAATTGGAGGAAGCAACTTCTTCGAATAGGTGAATTAATTTCAAATTGATAATGTGATTCTGAATGAACATTAAAGAAATCAACTATTACACCGAACATTACTTTATTGAGCTAAACAAATATTAACTGACTATATAAAATTCATTACACATTTGGAGATAGAATTTTGTACTCTTTAATAAGACTTTTTACATTTTTTGCAATCCTTTTTCTTATTTAAAAAATCAGTACTGTATTAGTACCCACAATATAAGTTTGTTCTAAGAATCAAATGAGATAAACATTTCAGACACCTATCATAGTATCAAGTTCATATCGTAAGCCTAAAATACCAGATGACTTTTATTATTTTCAGAATGTAGTCAAAATCAACATAAAGTTACATTAACACTTGGTTTACTGTATCATAATGCTAGCTTTGTGTCATATCTATCTAGAGAGTACACTGAATAGCTTAAACCAAGTAGAAGGTGATTTCTTGCTTACATAACAGTTTACCATAAGTAATTTTGGCTAAAGACGCATCTTTCCTGCAAAAAATAATTCAAGTTAACGAAGGATCTACTATTACCAAATTGTATCTTCCCAGATTACTTTGTATATATCACCATTCCAGAAGACAAAAGACTACTCATGAAATACAATTTGCACACTTCTTTATATATGAAAAATTCACTTCTCTTCCCTCTGTAAACAACTTAAAGTTTTGCCCAGTTACTGCCTACAACTTAGAGTTCAGGATGTTTCATGACGTGCAGTTCTCTCCCTCAGGCCACTATATGACTTAACGAGGACTAGTGTCCTATAAAGTCAAAAGACAAATTATCTGTAAAATCTAAGTTACCATGGTGAAGCTCCTATCAGAAGACAAAGAAGTCTGCAGAGCACTGACAAAAATATTTCTGAGCAGTACAAATATTTATTTGATGAAACCATAAACATGTCCTGTGGAAATAACTTTAAGGTCCATTGTCCCTGTGGCTCATAGATTTACTTTCTGAGGTAATTTACATTTTCTCTTATTCTCCATGCCTCCATCTTAAATTAGAACAATGAGTGTTTTCTCAGCATGACTCATCAATTGCACTGATTAGTGCAATTTGGGATGCTTGAGGATATTTTAAGCCTTAATTTTTTTTTCTCACAATAGGCTTATTGTACCTTTGCCAAGTAGTTATGTGGAAACCATTTATTTATTTATTGGATCTAGTTTATAACCAAACATACAGTTCTTTCCTAGGTATAATTCTAAAGTCTGCCTCATTTCCTTCTTTTTTCTCCTCCCCAACACACATATGCTTCTCTGACTGTAAAGATGACCACTTTAAGGTCATTTGAAATCATAGACTTGAAAGAGAAAACAACTTCCCTGATGAGTTCTTTGCTTCAGGGCTGGGTTCCTTGTTTTTTATGAACACAGTAGGATTTAATTTCTGAGCAGCTTTTTCAACCTAATCAGAAAAACCTGAGCTTTTCTGTCACTGTATAATTCCACCATTACTAGACTTTTTGTTTACAAGTGGTTTCCAACAAGGAATGACTTTGTTTCCATAGAACACTTGTCAGTGTCTGGAGACATTTTGAATTATAATGATTAGGTGGTGATGCTACTGGTATGTGGTGGTATAGCCTAAAGATACTATTAATATCCTACAATGCAAAGAATAACCTCCCACAGAATGCAGGAATATCAGGCATAAAATGTCAATAATGCTAAGGTTTAGCAACTCAACTCTATCCACTTTCTTTCCACTCTAAAGACAGGATATTTCTTTTTTCTTTTTTTTTTTTTTTTTTTTTTGCCTGTGTTTATCTATTTCTTGGATTATGGAACAGAACAAACATGAACACATTACCTTTTGCCTTTCCTCATTTCCCACACTCTTTCCTAGAGGTAATATTAAGCTTCCAATTAATTTTAGATGGTAGTTTCAATAATTTTTTTTCACTGGGTATTACAAGTCTTCATTTCAACCCTCTGAGTTTGGTTTACTTGTCCATTTAATACTAATTTAGTGGATACGTTTTAGGTGCTGTTATGGCAGACCCAACTCAAGCTGGTGATTTCTATATTACTTGGAATCGTGCTAGTTGCTTTGACAACTACACTCAACAACATATAATATCTTAAACAGAACAGAAGTTTCATTCATATAAACTGTTTTTTTAAGATAGGAAAAGCATTGCTCCTTTATGTCCGCATTCAAGAACATAGGCTACTAAGGTATTTAATCTGCAGTATGTTGCTTCCAAGACTACTGTAGAATTGGCCGTTCCAGTCAAGCATACTGAAAAACGTATACAGAAGAGTGCATGTTGGGATTTTGGAGACTTAATTGGATATAAAATATGTTATTTCTACTAATTTTCCACTATTTTGACTTTAATCCCATGCCCTAATATAAAGTATATAAGAATGAGAAACATAGTTTATGTATCTATCAAAATAGAACATAAATGTTTGTGAACATTTGAATCTGTCAGCTTCTCTTGCTCACGTGCCTGTAGTGCCTGTACTCAGGATGCTGAGGCAGGAGAATCGCTTGAACCCAGGAGGTGGAGGTTGCAGTGAGCTGAGGTCACACCACTGCACTCCAGCCTGGGCAACAGAGCGAGACTCCATCTCAAAAAAAAAAAGAAGTGACTCAACTGATTGATGTGTAAAACCTCATTGTAAAATAATGTTCTATAAATGAGACATTAATACAGTTAAATTTTTGGATTAAAAAAGTCTGCCACTTTGTGAATATGTTTTATTTAGGCTTGATTTAGTTAATTTTCTTTTTTCTTTTTCTTTTTTTTTTTTTCTGAGGAGTTTCACTGTTGCTGCCCAGGCTGCAGCGCAGTGCTGGGATCTCGGTTCACTGCATCCTCCACCCCGCCAGTTCAAGTGATTCTCCTGCCTTAGCCTCCTGAGTAGCTGGGATTACAGGCACCCACCCACCACCATACCCGGCCAATTTTTTGTGTTCTTAGTACACATGGGGTTTCACCATGTTGGCCAGGATGGTCTCGAACTTCAGACCTCAGGTGATCCGCCCACCTTGGCCTCCCAAAGTGCTGGGATTACAGGCATGAGCCACCGCACCCAGCCAGTTAATTTTTCTATTAACTAAGACCTAATTAAGATTGAGGCAGAAGAAATGGGTCCTTGGGATTTGAAAATTACTATTCAATTTGGAAGTTTAATTTGCAACATAGATTGTCTGTTATTAAATTACTAGATATAATATCACAAAGGTGGAAAGAAAGGTTGCTTAGTTAAAGATCTAAGTTACTAGTCATGGTGTCAGATATAGAGAATGATTGAAGGTTATCAGAGTCACACACCAGATGAGTAAATTGTTGTTTTCAAGGAAGAGGTTACATAAAGGTAAGCGGAGTAATATTTCAGCATTTTTGTTAATTAAAAATTTGTAAAGTTATTTCCATTTCAAGGAAATTACTCTCAGTAATTTTACGGGTAAAATGACAAATTCCAAGTTTAATTTTCACATGTAACACCCTCCTTGAGCACTTATTTTTATAAAGCTATTAATCTATTTTGGTCTCAATTTACCTTTCTTTAAAGAGATTTTAAAATTTTCTGAAAGAAGTTGACATCTGGAAGTGTAGCTGTTATATTTTTCAATTTTTAATTACATATTTAATTATCCTTTAATTACTTAAGGTTATTCTCAAAAGTGAAGAGATAGCTGGGATCACACTGCGTAAGATTTTACTCCTGAATGTAATATTCAAAAATGTTACAAAGTCTATCAAAGAGGTTTTCATTCTGTGACAATACATGGTCAATTTGACATGGTCAGGAAGCACCACCCCCACTGAGAGATACCAAATTATGGAGTAAACCACCGTAATTTAGGCAGATCTTGAGAGAGAAAATGCTGAGTGGATGCAGAGGCAGCAATGAAGCTGAGCTGAAGAGGGAGGAAGCCTGTGCAGGGAACCCAAACACTACAGCTAGTTCCCCAGAATGGCTCCTAGGAAAGGGCCTCTGCCTGAGAGAGACCTGTGGCCTAGAACACCTAACACAAGAAACACAGTGATTGCAGGAGACTCCCCCAGGGCCCAGGAGCACATCTGGTGATGGAGGCATCTCTCCCACCCCCACTATAGAGCACACCTGCAAACAAAAGGAAGTATAAAACAGCCATGCCACTGGGTATTAGGCTAGCCACTGGCCATCACTCTTAAGCACTATGCATTGGATCACATCCCAAACTACAACATCAAAATTTATCCTGCTACATATACACCTGTGAAACCAAACACAAGAATTACTCATACATAAAAATCCTGGACAGAGAAAGCCCTGACCCTTTGAAAGCATCCAGAAACAAAACCAATTGCCTATACTCAACATACACTACAGTTAAAGGAACACTAACCCTACCAGAAGAGAAAAAATCAGTGCAAGAACTCTGGCAATTCAAAAAGCTAGAGTGTCCTCTTACCTCAAAATTAGCCCACTAGCTACCAAGCAATGGTTCTTAATCAGTCTAAAATAATTGCAACAGACATAGAATACAGAACCTCGATGGCAGGGAAGCTCATGAACATTAAGGAGAAAGTTGAAACCCTAGCCAAGTAATCCAGTAAAGCAATCTAAGTAAGTGCTGAAAGATGAAATTGCCATTTTAAACAACAGCCACACTGAATTTCTAGAGCAGAAAAAATTCAGTATAAGAATTTTATAATACAGTAAGAAATATTAACAGAAGGTAGGCCAAGCTAAGGAAAGAATCTCAGAGCTCAAAGACTGGTTCGTTGAATCAACTGAGTCAAAAGAAAATTTTAAAAAAGAATTAAAAAAAGAAAATGAACCAAAGCTTTAAGAAATATGGAATTATATAAAGAGACCAAATCTACGACTCATTGTCATTCCTAGAAGAGAAACAAAGAGAAAAGGCAACTTGGAAAATAGATTTGAGAATAGAGTCTATGAAAATTTTCCTAACCTCGCTAGAGAGAGTGACATGTAAATCCAAAAAATACAGCAAACCCAGCTAGGCACTATAAAAGGTGACTATCCCTAAGGCACACAGTCATCATATTCACCAAAGTAAATACAAAAGAAAAAAAAAATCTTAAAGGCAGCTAGAGAGAAAGGTCATGTTTTCATAAAGCAAGAACTCCACTAGGCTAGTAGTAAATATCTCAGCAAAAACCTTACAAGCCAGAAGAGATTAAGGGCCTATGTCCAACATCATTAATGAAAATAAATTCCAGGCAATAATTTTATATTTCACTAAACTAAACTTCCTAAGTGAAGAAGAAACAAATTTCTCCTCAGATAAGCAAATACTGAGGGAATCAATTTCAACTTGACCAGCCTTATGAAAGGTCCTTAAGGGAGTGCTATACATTGAGTAAAAAGAATGACACCTGCTACCACAAAAACCCACTTAAGTACATAGCTCACAGGCACTATAAAGTATCTACACAATCAAGTCTACCTAAAAACCAGCTACAAACGTGATGATAGGATCAAAATCTCATGTATCAACATTAACCATAAATGTAAATAGGCTAAACACCCCCACTTAAATGACATACAATGGCAAACTGGATAAAAATGCAAGGCTCACCATCTGCAGTCTTCAAGAGACTCACCTCATATGTAATGACAGCCACTGGCCCAAAATAAGGGGATGGAGAAAATCTGCCATGCAAATGATAACAAAAAAGCAGGAGTAACTATTCTTATATCAGATAAAACAGACTTTAATCAAAATTAAAAAGAACAATTGAAGAATGAAGAGCATTACGTCATGAGAAAGTATATGATCAAACAAGAATACTTAAGTACCCTAAATATAAATGCACCCAACATGGAGCACCCAGATTCATAAAACAAGTTCTTTTTGGACTACAAAAAGACAGACGACCACCCAATAACTGTAGGAGACTTCAACACCCCCGCTGGCAGCACTGGATCATCAAAGCAGATAACTAAGGAAGAAACTGTGTACTTAAACTTCACCCTTGACCATCTGGACCTAATAAGACATCTACAGAACACTCCACTCAATAACCACAGAATATACATTCTTCTCATCTGCACAGGGAACATATTCTAACATTGACCACATGCTTGGTCATAAAGCAAGTCTGGATAAATTTTAAAAAATGAAATCATATCAAGCACACTCTTAGATCTCAATGTAATCAAAATATAAATAAATACCAACATCTCTCAACACTACACAAATAGATGAAAATTAAACAACTTTCTCCTGAATAACTTCTGTGTGAAAATCAAAATTAAGGGAGAAATTTTAAGAAAGTGAAATTAATGAAAATGGGAACACAAATTACCAAAATCTCTGGGATGCAGCTAAATCAGTGTTAAGAGGAACGTTTAAATGCCTTTATCATAAAGTTAGAAATACTTCAAATTAACAATCTAACACTACACCTAAAGGAACTAGGGAAGAAAAAAAAAAGAACAACCCTACATCAACGCTAGGAATGAAAAGAAACAACTAAAATAGAGAAGATCTGAATGAAATTGAGATGCAAAAATCCATACAAAAGATTAATGAAACCAAGAGTTGATTTAAAAAAAGAGATTGATAGACCTTTAGCTAGATAAACAAAGAAAAAAAAGAGAAGATCTAAATATATAAATCAGAATGACAAAAACGACATTAAAAATGGTCCCACAGACATACAAAATAATCCTCAGAGAATACTAGGAATAACTCTAGACACAAAAATTAGAAAATCTAGAGGAAATGGATAAATTTCTGAAAACAGGCAATCTTCCAAGATTGAATCAGGAAGATACTGAAATACTGAAGAGACCAATATGAAGCTCTGAAATTGAATAAGTAATAAAAAATCTACCAAGCCAAAAAGCCCTGGACTATATGGATTCACAGCAAAATTCTACCGGAAGTATAACGAAGAACTAGTACAATTCTACTGAAACTATTCCAGAAAAGTTGAAGAGAACGTACTCCTTCCTAACTCACGCTGTGAAGCCAGAAGCAGCTTAATACCAAAACCTGGCAGAGACGCAAAAAAAAAGAACATTCAGGTGACCACTGTTGACGAACATAGACTCAAAAATTCTCAACAAAGTACTAGCAAACTGAATCCATCAGCAGCATATCAAAAAATTAATCTACTATGACAATACAGGCTTTATTCCTGGGATGCATGGCTGGTTCAACATATGCAAATCAATAAATGTGATTCACCAGATAAACAGAATTAAATCAAAAACCATATGATCATCTCAACGGATGCCGGAAAAGCTTTCAATTAAATCCAGTGTCCCTTCATGAAAAAACAAAACAAAAAAAAACCCTCAACAGTTGAGGCTTCAAATAAGCATACTTCAAAATAAAAAAGAGCTATCTACAACAAACCCACAGCCAATATAATACTCAATGGGCAAAAGCTGAAAGCATTCTCCTTTAGAAATGAAACAAGCCAAGGACATCCACTCTTACCACTCCTATTCAACATAGTACCAGAAATCCTAGTCAGAGCAATCTTGCAACAGAAAAAGAGAAAAGCACCCAAATAGGAAGTAAAGATTAAGGCAAACTATCTGTCTTCACCCAACAATATCCTTCTATACCTAAAAAAGCTTAAAGACTTCAACAAAAGTCTACTAGAAATGATAAAGGATTTTAGCAAGGTTTCAGGATACAAAATCAATGTACAACAATTAGTAGCATTTCTATACAACAACAACATCCAGGTTGAGAGTTAAATTAAGAACACAATCATATTTACAACACCTAGGATGAAAATAAAATCCCTGCAAATACAACTAACCTAAGATGTGAACGATCTCCACAAGGAGAATTACAAAACACAGCTGAAATCTGAAGCTGGATGCAGTGGTTCATGCCTTTGGGAGGCCGAGGCAGGTATATCGCTTGGACCCAGGAGTTTTGAGACCAACCTAGGCAACATAGTGGAACCTCATCTATACAAATTTTTTTTTTTTTTTTAAATAGCGAGGCATGGTGGCACATGCCTGTAGTCCTAACTACCCTGACGGCTTGAGGCCAGGAGTTCAAGCCTGCAGTGAGCTATAATAACTCCACTGCATTCCAGCCTGGGTGAAAGGGTGAGACTCTGTCTCAAAAAAGGAAGGAAATAAGAAAAGGAAGGAAGGAAGGATGGAAGGAAGGGAGGAAGGGAGGGAGGGAGGGAAGGAAGGGAGGAAGGGAGGGAGGGAGGGAGGGAAGGAAGGAAGGAAGGAAGGAAGGAAGGAAGGAAGGAAGGAAGGAAGGAGATTTTGATAACACAAATAAATGGAATAACATTCCATGTTTACAGATTAAAAGAATCAATATGTTAAAATGGCCACACTGCCCAAAGCAACTTGTAGATTCAAGGCTATCTCCATGAAACTACCAACATCATTCTTCACAGAATTAGAAAAAACTATTCTAAATTTATATGGAACACCCCCAAAAGCCAGAATGGCCAAAGCAATTCTGAGCAAAAATAATAAAGCCAGAGAGGCGTCATACTACCCAATTTCCAGCTATACTATAAGTGTACACTAACCATGATACTGTTACAAAAGCAGACACTTAAGCCAATGGAACAGAATAGAACACTCAAAAATAAAGCTGCACACTTACCACCATCTGGATCGTGGACAAGGCCAACAAAAACAAACAATGGGGAAAAGGCACCCTATTCAATAAATGGTGCTGGGATAATTCGCTAGCCATAAGCAGAAGAGTGAAACTGGATGCTTACCTTCCACCATACACACAAATTAATTCAAGATGGATTAAAGGTTAAAATGTAAGACTTCAGATTATGAAAACTCTAAAACAAAACCTAGGAAATATTTTTCTCGACATTGGCCTTGGCAAATAATTTTTGGCTAAGTTTCTAAAAACAATTGCAACAAAAACGAAATTGACAAGTGAAAGTCAATCAAACTAAAAAGCTTCTGCACAGCAATAGAAACTATCCACAGAGTAAACAGACAACTTACAGAATGGGAGAAAATATTTGCAAACTATGCATCTGATAAAGATCTAATATAACAAATCCATAAGGAAGAAAAAATGACAAGCATAAAACAACCCCAGTTAAAAAGGGCAAAGCTAATACAGGAGCAGAAAATCAAACTCCGCATCTTCTCACTTATAAGTGGGAGCTGAACAATGGGAACACATGGACACAGGGAGGGGAACAACACACAATGGGGAACAACACACAACACACACTATAATTTTCTGTAGGGGGTTGAGGAGAGGGAGAGCATCAGGAAAAATAGCTAATGCATGCTGGGCTTAATACCTAGGTGATGGGTTGATAGGTGCCAGCAAACCACCACCACACACGTTTATCTATGTAACAAAACTGCGCTTCCTGCACATGTACCCCAGAACTTAAAATTTAAATCAAGAAAAGGCAAAGGACATGAACAGATATTTTCTCAAAAGAAGACACTCAAGTATATGAAAAAACACTCATCCTTACTAATCATCAAATAAATAAATGCAAGCAAAAACCACAGTAAGATGCCATCTCACATCAGTCACAACAGCTATAATTAAAAAGTAAAAAAATTAGATGTTGGCCAGGCTGCAGAGTAAAGGGAATGCTTATACACTACTGTTGATGGAAATGTAAACTGGTTCAGGTACTGTGGAAAGTATTTTGGAGATTTCTCTAAGAACTTAAAACAGAGATACCCTTCGACCCAGCATTCCCATTACTGGGTATATATTCAAAGGAAAATAAATTATTCTACCAGAAAAATATACATGCACTCGTACGTTCATCAGCATGTTATTCACAATAGCACAGACATGGAATGAACCTAGGTGCCCATCAAAGGTGGATTGGATAAAGAAAATGTGGTACATATACACTATGGAATACTATGCCTCCATAAAAAAGAATGAAATTATGTCCTTTGCAGCAACATGGATGGAGCTAAGGACATAATCCTAAGCAAATTAGTGCTGGAAAAGAAAACCAGATACCACACATTCTCACTTATAAGTGGAACCTAAACACTGAGCACACAGGAACATTAACATGGGAACAAGACATGCTGCAGGCTACGGGGGTGGGGGAAAGAGGGGAGCATGGGCTGAATAACTACCTACTGGGTACTATGCTCACTACCAGGGTGCACTGTACAAAAGTAACAAATCTGCATATGCACTATCTGTGTCTGAAAAAAACTGAAATTATAAAAACCAAGAGAATATGTTTCTAATGAACGTAGACTTTATTTGATGGACTGGATTAGAATATAATTTTTTTAAGGGGAAAGGCATTGGGGGATGCACAATGTCTACAGGTTTCTAAACCTCTCTGGTTTCTCACCTAATTCATAGTCTCTTATGTCATTTTCATAGTTTTCATATTCTGCCTTTCCACCTCTTCTTTTTAACAAGTAAAATTCCTCATAGCATACAAAAAAACAATTTTATAAAAAACCCATATTATAGATCAGGGACCTGTGGATTATATGCTATTAGAACTATACAAAATGTCTCTATATAGTTTTCTGTATCTTTGGAATATCTTTGGGTGAAGCTGCAGACCTTCTTGGTGAGTGTTACAGCTCTGCGCAGAGCCAAACAGTGAGCAGCAGCAAGACTGCAAAGAGCAAAAGAACAAAGCCTCCACACTGTGGAAAGGGACCCTAGCACGTTGCTGTTGCTGGCTCTGGCAGCTGCTTTTATTCCCTTATCTCACCCCACCCACATCCTGATGATCGGTCCATTTCATAGAGAGCTGATGGGTTCATTTTACAGAGAGCTGCTTGGTCTGTTTACAATCCTTTAGCTAGACACAAAAGTTCTCCAAGTCCCCACCAGATTAGCTAGACACAGAGCACTGATTAGTGCGTTCACATACCTTGAGCTAGACACAGCATGCTGATTGGTGCATTTACAATCCTCCAGCTAGACGTAGTAAGTTCTCCAAGTACCCACCGGACTCAGGAGCCCAGCTGGCTTTGCCTAGTGCATCCCGGCCGCGGGCGGAGCTGCCCGCCAGTCTCTGGCGCGCTGCCGCACTCCTCAGCCGTTGGGCGGTTGACGGGACCGGGTGCCGCGTAGCAGGAGGTGGCGCCCGTCCCCTCGGGGTGGCGCGCGGGAGCCTGCGGTTGGGGGGCGGGGGGCGGGGGGCAGGGGACGGGGGCGGGGAGGAGGGTGAGGGCTCCAGCATGGCAGGCTGCAGGTCCCGAGCCCTGCCCCCTTGCCCCGCGGGGAGGTGGCTGAGGCCCAGCGAAAATTCGAGCGCGGCGCCGGCGGGCCATCACTGTTGGAGGACCCAGTGCACCCTCCGCAGCTGCTGGCCCGGGTGCTAAGCCTCTCACTGCCCAGGGCCGGCGGCGCCAGCCGACCGCTCAAGAGTGCGGGGCGCGCCGAGCCCGCGCCCACCCGGAAGTCGCGCTGAGCCCGCGCCCACCCGGAAGTCGCGCTGGACCTGCGAGCACCGCAGGCAGCCCAGGTTCCGGCCCGCGCCTCTCCCTCCACACCTCCCCGCCAGCAGAGGGAGCCCGCTCAGGCCTCAGCCAGCACAGAGAGGGGCTCCCACGGTGCAGCTGCGGGCTGAAGGGCTCCTCAAGCGCGGCCAGAGTGGGCTGAGGCCGAGGAGGCGCCGAGAGCCAGCGAGGGATGCCAGCAAGCTGTCACCTCTCAGAAATACAGGAAGAACATCAATAATGTTCGAAGTTATAAAGTAGTAGGTTTCTATCAAGAGTAAAACATAAACGAAGTTATAAAGTAGTAGGTTTCTATCAAGAATAAAACATAAACGATCAAAGAATTCCTTATAAAAACATTTTTTATTTCTAGGAATCAAAACATAAATATAAAATTTGAGAGTCCACCAAAAAAAATTAGATGCCAGATTTCACTATAATTATCAGGGAAGCGCCCAAATGGGTTGTTTACGGCGCCTCGGGGAAACTTTCTGTTTCGTGTTAAGGGTCTTGAACCATGATGTTTAGAAAACCATGGGCTGATGCTTTCAGAACCTCTGTGATTTTTGCCTCCGACACTGCATCCAATAGACTAGCATGTTGATTAGGGAAAGCTAAATTCAATAAAAGACGACTGTAAGTGGGGTCACCACCTTGAGGGGTCATGTTAGAAAAGTAGATGATAAGGTGGTATTGATAGAGTATTGAAGTCTGGGCTCAAATGGTTGCCCGGGGCCTTTCAAGACCAATGACTGATAAGAATAGGTAATGTTCAGGACATAGAGTTTAGGATTGGGGGACACTGTGAGTTAAGGGCCATGACAGAAGTCTTCATAAGTAAACTGTTAATTGACACAAGCTGCTACCTGCCCAGGTGAGCAATCTGTTGGCCCAGAGGAGAGTTGCTTACTGACATAAATTGATTTGCAGAAATTTCCTGAAGCAAACAATAAGTTATTTATTGGTTTGCAGCCTTACTTTCCTGAAAAATAATTTTCTGGAATGAATTGTGAAATCATGTTGACACAGATGGCCTCAGGTTTCAGTTCGGATAATTAAGCTGTGTAAATATAGAAAGTCGAAGGTTTCTGGGTGCTGTTGATTCACAGTATGCAACAATGATCATATTACTTTTATTTACTATGAGCTTCAGCTGAAAATCCAAAAGAAACTTTAATTTCAGATATTTAATGAAATCATTATAGCTGTGGTAATTTCCTTTAGCTGGGTGTGAGTGTGTGATGTGAGCGTGTGATTGTGTGTGTGTGTGTGTGTGTGTGTGTGTGTGTACTCTGGCAGCATATTCCAAATAATTTCTGTAAAATTTCAGTTTGAAATTAATAGAAGACATATTAAATTGTTTAAACTCTTTGTTATTTAAATTCTATATTACTTTAGTCGATTACTCTGTATTATTACGGCAAAGCTTTGATATGTTGCCCTGAATTTAAAGAAAAGGCTGTTCGGCCTAAAAACAGGAATATTTTATTACCAAAAAGAATTAACTACCATATGTCATTTACAGAAAAGAGTAAATTCTTCAGGGCATAGAAAATACACATTTCCTTCTGTTTGTGTGGAAATAAGCAAAATACCTGTTATAATAGATTCCTCACAGAATTTTGTGAAGCTTCAGGTAAACTTGAAAGAGAAAAATTAAAATGCTAGAGTTTCATAATTACAAATTGGGATATAAAAATAGAATAATTATTTGAATTTTGTATTTCTCTCCAGGGGATCAAAAGTAATATATAAACTTTTAATAAATATTGATATAGCTTCACGTTGACTCCATATGTGAGCAATTTGCTTTCTGTTAAATTCACAATTGCATAATTTTTTTCAGGCTGGAATGCACTTGGATGCCAGAGATTTTGATTTCTTCATGTGAAATAAGGTGATAATACATTCCAAAGTATATATTTTTTCAACTTTGAATATATCTGGTGTATTTGGAGTAATATCTGAGTAAATACACTTATATGTAAGAGAATCAAAGGAACAAGATATTATTTTATATCCAAGGAAATTAACACTTAGAACATAAATACGTATTGCATTACTTCATATTAAAGAAATGTTTTACAAAAGAAAATAAAGGAGCTTATTTTATAGCCCCATTTCCACAAATAATAGCAAAGGTACATACACATATCTAATGTTTTACACACTCATTATTGTTTCTCTTAAAATTTGTTGCTTATACTATTTTAAAAGGCAAGCCTATAGATTGTTGTGTGTATATACATATACACACAACATACATATATGTGTGTGTGTGTGTGTGTGTGTGTATATATATATATATATATATATATATATATATATCAGCAAGCAAGAGAATGGGCCTCTTCCTGCTGAGGTTTAACATTTGCATGTATATGTATATTTTGATTCACATAGACTTATTGTTCTTTAATTACATGAACAGTGATTCCTGGTTACATTATTGGAAAATGGAAGCAATGCTCAAAGAGCATCACCTAAATTTCCATCATATTTTGCTCTCAATATATTTTGTACATCCAAATATATTGTGATTAATCTGCATACATTTTTGCTGTTCTAGGTGACGCTGGTATGAGGCTAGGTAATACACGACCTTAGTCTGCATGTTGTACTTGTGTAACACACATAATTTTACAGTGCTAACAGGTGCTATAATAACTAACTATAGTTAATGATGAATGAAAGAAGGAAGATGTTAAGATGTTAGGGAAGGACTCAAAAGATGCAGTGCTTGAGTTAGAATTTTAAGGGAGATTATGCAAAAGCAGTCACTTAAGGTGGGTCGGGATGATCTAGAATGTGGGAATGATGTATGCAAAGTCACACAGGAGAGATACAGCATGCATGTTTAGAAAATTGTTGATTACATATGGAAAGTTTGCAGGACTTGCATCCTAGAATGTCAGGATTTTAAGCTAAGTAGGGTTCAAATTAAATTTTTCACATACTTCGCTGCATTATAATAACTAGTTTATGTTTAACTCATCCACTAAACTAAGTTATTTGAAAAGAGATGCCAGTGTTCACTCAATCTAGTTGTCTGTCATTAATAATTTAAAAATAATTGAGATTTTAATTTTGGTCTGCTAAGCCTGTTTAATTAAAATTTGACGTTAAATAAGATTTTACAGGCCTCATTTTTTTTTCAGTCATCACAGTTTGAATATTAAACATTACTACTTTTATCTCCCTCAGTCAGCATAAAACATACTACTTATGGTTTTAATAACCAAATTCAATGAGCACCAACAAAATTTGATGTAACTATTAACTTTGAAATTTTGTTGAAATAGAACTATGCCTTGGGTATCATTCAAAGCATTTAATTGTTGCAATAAAAAACTTTGAGATAAATTGAAATGATGGACAATATGGGTCGAAAGCAACACTGGCTTGAGGGAATAGGCTAATGTTTGAGAACAGAATTGTTAAGGACAAGATTGGATGTTTATATTATTTTAGGAAAGATACACTCTAATGGAGTTTAATTCTAAAATGTTTAATATTATGAAAATATTATATGTTATATGATCATTATAGAAAATTAAAAATATAAGAACATCAGAAGCAAAATAGTCAAAGTCTACCTAAACCCAATTAGAAGTGAATACTATTAATCTTGATTTGCATGTTTCTAATCTTATTATTATCAAATTAATAAACAGCTTTCAGATATTCTGCTTCTCCCTGTTACTAGATCAGGATAATGTCATTTATGTACAGGCATCTCCTGCTTACTCAGTTCAGCATTGATCAATAAATATTTTAGACTTCCATTCAAAACACTTCCATTTTTCTTTTGCCCATATTCTTTTTATTCAGTGCTGCCTGTTTTCAAATACATAACACTTTGTCAAACAAATTCCAACATTAGATTGGATATAGTTGGTATCAAAGTAGTAATACACATTGCCATTCCTAATCCTCAGTGCATTGATCCTGAAAATTATTTGTAAGAATAGAAAAATACTGGATATTTCAAATTAAGTCTCATTTTGTTGCTTACCCATGAAAGACTGGAATTAACCAACATAACCATTACAAGGTGATTGAGCAAATGAATAGATGGAAAATATTATAGAAACTTTACTGCAGTTCATCAACCATTGTGGTCATTAGGCCGTAGGAAAATACAGTGTGACAGTACCCCTGTCTTCTTTTCCATTTGTTAAGTCTCATATCCAAGTAACAGTGGGTAGACCTTATGAGAACCCAAAGTGAGATAAAAATAATTTTTGGCTTTTCAATGTATCTTATTTGATCTAAGAGGTATTTCCCCGACTTTGATGCAATAATTCTTGTCACAAAATTTGACTTTACTGAAGACCGTTTTAAGGATCTTTGCAGCTGACAGCAGTGACTTTTTTACCTCCTACAAAGTTTCAACTGACAGTCTTATTGTCTCTGACTTTCCCAAATTAATGACATAATTAGTCACCAGGGCTTTGGCTGCTCAATAGGGATTTAGTAAGCAATGAGTCATATGTTGGGGAACACTTCAACAAACAAAATGTTGGCAGAGAAAGATGTATGAATCAGCTAGGAAGAAACACTATTCTATCACTGAGGATCTTTCTAATATTAGATATCACAGAAAAATTTTCATATAGATTACCATATGAGTGAGCCAAAACCTCTAGGAACAAAAAAGCTTAGTATAATTATAACTCCTTGCCATGATTTAACTTAAAATTTCTTTACTTATTTAGCAATTCTATAAACAAGAATCATTTCTGTTAAGGATACTAAGGAGAGTGTTCCTATTGAATCAGAACATTTAAAAGAAATAATTGAGGGAACTCACACATGTAAAACGTCATTAACCAAACTAAAATAAAATGTGAGGGCATAAACTTAACCAGAAATGTTTAAAACCTATATATAAAAAAAACTAGAAAACACTTCTGAATGGCACAAATTTGGACTTGAGCACGGGGAAAGAAATTCCATGCTCTTGAAAAAGCCTTAAAATCATAAATGTGCCAGTTCTTTAAATAAACTTATATCTTCTGTGTCATAACAAAACGACATTTTCTAGAATTTCTTTTTCCAGATTTAGAAAAATAGACAAATTTACTTGGAGGAATAAAGAAGCAAGAATAGCTAGAAATATCCTATAAAATCAATGGAATTTGGAGTCAATACAAAATATTAAGCAATTCTTAAAGCTTCTATGATTAAAATGAGTTATAACTACAGATAGATGAAGATCATATAGAAAATCAAGACATTGACAGATATGGAAAGGTGGTATATAATGAAAACATTTCAGATCAGTGAGGGGGAAATGTTAACCGGAAAAGAATATTAAAAAGGCAATGAACTCAATAAGACAACAAGAAGCAAACCACAGAAAAATAACTGGACTGGATTAGAAAGAAAATACTTTAGACACTTCAAAAATAAAATATTCAAATAACCAATGAACTTATTAAAAGGTTTTTATTTATATTGGTTACCTGAAAAAATAATTCAAACCACAATGAGATGTAAGTACTTGTCATTCAGAATCCTGAATTTGAAAGGAATATTTTAGAATTCTAAGTTGAAGAGAAAGTGCAAAGTATTGATGAGAATGTTGACTAATTAGAACACTCAAATTGATGTTATTGGCATAACTTAGTTCAAATAATTTGGATAAAGATATGTATTAGGCCCCAAAATTCTACTTGTAAAGATGGTTTCTCCAGAAATGCATGCATATATATAGCTAAAAAAAAATGTGTACTCATGAAAACACTTTTCAGAATAACACCAAAATAACCCCAAACTGTGGCCCAAAAGTGGACTAAAATACTTATAAAGAGTACAGTAAACAAATAAGTTGTAATATGATCACCTAATAAAATATTAGAGAAATAAATATAAATAGTTTCATTTGCAGGTCATATAGTCAATTCGTCTCACAAATATAATATTAAGCAAAAAAATGTGGTTCAAAACACTACACACACTATTTGATTCCTTACTGGTAAAAGTTAGAATAGTGTTATGTTAGGAGGGATGGGTGGAAATCAGGTGTGTGACTATTACATTTTCTTATTCTGGATGATCATAGTATTTTAAAACTCACTAAGCTTTAAACTTATGTGCATTTACCCATGTGTATACAATACTTTAATAGAAGCTTCAAATCAATGAGAAAACATGAAACTGTCTGATGGAAAAATAGCTTGAGGAAATGAACAGGTATGGCAGAAAAGAAGGGCTGCATATAGTTTAAAAACTTGAAGAGATGTTTAATCTCTTTGCAAATAGAAAAACATACGCATTTAAATTGAAATACCATTTTCATGTTCCAAAATTAAAATTATTAGAAATATGATGGTAAACAGTGATGGTAATATGGGAGAAAGGAAACATCCTAGGCAATTTGGCTAAGCTTTTCTGAGAAAGATTTAGGCAATATGCCATTAAAAGATTTAATGTGAACAAATGGGAAATTTGCCCACATAAATAAATGGAAAGATACTCTATTTTTCCTAATTTAATCTGAAAATACCTAAGCCCCTGATATTTTAGAGACATAATTTTCACTGCGATGGTCATAATTTTAAAAGGTTGCATCATCCATTTTTAGTTAACATATATTGTACTAACATCACATATCTATGTAACAGAAAAATAGAGTCAACTCATGTAGGGACAGACATGAAAATGACAAATACATATAGAGATAGAAAGGTATCTTGTGCATTATACTGAGAAAGACAATAGAAATAAACAATTTACATGGGTTGATTTATTTTGATTAAGATATATAAGTGGTTAGATAAATGTTAAATAGGTCAGTATGTAATTACAGAAAATGACAAATTGTTATGTATGGTACATTTGTAGGCATAACACAGACATTACATTTTGGAAAATTGTGTTCTATGCAACAGTGCCAAGTCTAATGAAAGTAAGAGGAAGAGGAATTCAGCCAAAGTACCAACCCCTGTTATCCATTCCTTAAGAAAGGAACTTCTTTATACACTCAAAAGAGGGGATTCTTTTTAAATTTGTTTCCAGAGGGGCATCTGCATACACATACACATACACATACACACACACACACACACACACACACACATTTACATTATATTTAAATGTGTGTGCATGATATATATATATACATGTATTTATTTATTTAATATATATGTGTTATCTGGGTCCTATATAGGAACACACACACACACACATTTTGAATCAAACACTCTTTCGTATAATTTTGGTGACAAACGTATGCAATAAATGAGAATACTTTAACTTTCCAAAAAGCTATTCAAAAGTATAATTTTCAAATAAAATATATGTTTGTATGACAACAAATGATTTTTTATAAATAATATATTCTGCATTATCAATCTGCCACTGGTTTTTATTAAATAAAAAAACCTGTAAGTTTGTATGCTCTTAAAATACATATAACATTTGTAAGAATAGTTTTTGTGTAAAAATAATTATAGTTCACTATAACTATGTTAAAAATAGACATAGCCAGGCAAGTCGCTCATGCCTGTAACCCAGCACTTTGGTAGGCTGAGGCGGGCAGATCACTTGAGGCCAGGAGTTCAAGACCAGTCTGGCCAACATAGCGAAACCCCATCTCTAATAAAAATACAAAAATTAGCCGGGCATGGTGGCCCATACCTTGTAATGCCAGCTACTCAGGAAGCTGTGGCAGGAAGATTGCTGGAACCCGAGAGGCGGAGTCTGCAGTGAGACAAGATCATGCCACTGCACTCCAACCTGGGTAACAGAGTGAGACTCTGTCTCAAAAAAAAAAAAAAAGAAAAGAAAAGAAAAGAAAAGAGAAAAATAGACACAGATGAAGGGTGTCTTTGATTATGCAAATAGATTACCCATCTTGTACTCACTGTGTTTATTTCAATAAATGATCCACAGAATATGCTACTTTTGATTTATAGTTTTCTTCTCCTTCACCGCTGTGGACTGGGAAAATATTTCTTATTATTTCTGCTGCAGAGTAGCAAAAAATTATGAGCCAGAAGGAAGACCACTACAACAAGCAAAATCTCTGAGTAATCATAAAATGAAGAACTATTTCCTGTTGGGATTCACTGTGACGAATTTGATTTTAAATTCTTGATGTTGGCATTTTATTTTTAAAACTTAGCTTTCTTGCCTATTCTGAAATTGTCAAAAATTCAGAAAAATAATCATGATCATTTGCTTGCTGACCAGTGGAGACCTACTGATTTTTAGGCTGTGAGACTACAGTAATAAATAAATAAAAAAGTTCATACTTCCTTCTATCGAGGGAAATTGAGCATTTTTCTCATAGTCCTAAATCACCAGATCAAGGGATATATGTAATACTTGAGTGTTGACATTTTATTAATTTTTATATTTAACTAGAGCTGTAAAGTTGAAACAAATGGGTCAATGCAGTAGCCCATAAAATATTTTAAAAACACATAAAAGAAATATCACTAAAATTTAAACATAAAAAAAATACAAAAAAACCCTGAGCTATAGGAAGGGAAGTATCCTCTAAATGCCCAAGTTGAAGGTAGTCCTCTTAGAAAGGGACAGTAAGAAGCAGTGTTTGATGGGAACGTGATTTTTCAAGTATTTGAATTTTCAAACTCACCACATTAACTGAGTAAAATGAAAAAAATATATAAACTTCCTCTGAGGCAGAAAAAACATTTGGCATTTTCAAGATAGAATTATAATAAAAATATCTCGCCCCAATAGAATACAAAGAAGCATCCTTAAGCAAATAGAAGGCATCTACGGAAATATCACACTGAAGTGTGAACTAATAAATTATTCATTTAAGATCCAGAAGAAGACAAAGTGTCCTCTTTCACTATTGTTCTCTCTACTGTATGGGAGGAATTAACCAGTGAGACAAATCAAATAAATAAGTAAAACATACACAGTTAAGAAATGAAAAATACACTTCTAAATTTTTAAACAACTCCATTACCTACACATAAACTTCTAGTGACTGTAAAAATCAGCTGCTGGAATAAACTAGTAATTTTAGCCACATCATAGAAAAAATAAGTCAACCCATTAACTTATTTCTATATATTTCCAATGAGCAATTAATGATAAAAATCAAATCCATGTAAAATACTAATAAAAATAAAATATGTATATATGATTTTAACAAATTACATGCAAGATCTCTCTAAATAGGAAACTAGCAAAAGTGTTGGGAGATGTAGGAAAGTTCTAAATAAATGGAGTCGCATACAATAATTGATGGTTTTGATGTGTGTCCCTGCCCAAATCTGGTATGATGTAATCTCCAATGTTAGAGGTGAGGCCTGATGGGAAGTGATTGGATCATGGGGTGGATTTCTCATGAGTGGTTCAGCATCATCCCTCTTGATACTGTTCTCATAATAGTGAGTGAGTGAGTTCTCATGAGATCTGGTCATTTAAAAGTGTGTAGCAGCTTCCCCTTTCACTCTCTTGCTGTTCTGGCCATGTGACGTGCCTGTCCCCCTTTGCTTTCTGCCATGATTGTGCGTTTCCTGAGTCTTCCCAGAAGCTAAGTAGATGCCAGCATCATCCTTCCTGTATAGCCTGCAGAACAGTGGGGCAATTAAACCTCTTTTCTTCATAAATTGTCGAATCTTCTGTATTTCTCTATAGCAATGCCGGAACAAACTAATACAATAATCATGGCTTGAAAGTTCAGTGAATTTTAGTGTGTAAAAGGTTTTGGTTTTTCCAAATTAATCATTCTAGAAATCCTCACCATAATCACAAAAGATATTTTTATATAAATTGACACACTGATTTAAAAATGTACATCAAGAGAGCAAAAACAAATGATAGAAAGCTGAAAAAAAAGTTGGAATACTCACACTTCCTAACACCATGCAATAACTTAAAGCTATAGTCATCGAGAGAATGTGTTATTAGTAGATGGATAAACAATTAGAGTAATGGAATGGAATAGAGTTCACAAATAGATCCATGCTTATATGAATAATATAATATCAAAGATACTGCAGTTATTCAAAGGGGAAAGATAATTTTATTTAACAAAGTGTGCAGAACTACGAGATAAATGTGAAGAAAACAAACCTCAAGTCCTTCCTCACAACAAAAGCGTGAATGAGTTCAAAATTAAAGGAGTCCAAAATATATTATGGAACAATGTGTAAAAGTGAAAGCATAGGCTTCAAATATAAAGCACAGAAAATGTCTTAGTAAACTACATGAAAGCACTTCTTTTTATCCAAACTGTGGATACATTTCTTTTTATTCAGAAAGCAATAATTATATAATGATAAACTACAGAAATGTGTAAATATATTTATACTTTAATGTTTATTTTTAATTACACAATTATATATACTATTTATTATGAATAAGAGCAAGAATATATAAATATAATGTACAACATAGAAACAAGAGAGCTATAAAAACTAACAGATGCTACACAAAAATGATATAATAGCAAATAAGCAAAGGAAAAATTTCTTAATATCGTTAGTAATAAAAAATAAAATGAGATAATTATACACATCTACTAGAAAAGCTACTATTTTAAAAATTGTGTTACCAATATTTGGCATAGATGTCAAGAAACCAGACTCTAGAGTTTGCATACATCGACGGTGGGAGTGTAACACAGTACAGCTACTTTGGATAACTAAATCTACCTTACATGTACCAATTCTACCCCTAGGCATTTATCCTAGGGGGGAGAAAAGCATAAGTCTGTAAAAAGGCTTGCACAAGTACCTTTATTCATTATTGTCAAAAACAGACACCATGCAACTGTCCACCAAGAGCGGCGTTCTCAAGTTCAGCACTATTAGCTGTTGAAGTGGCTTAATTCTTTGTTGTGGGGAGCTATCCTTTGTGGAACCCTGGCCTGTGGACACTCTATCCCCTCCTCCACAAACCTCTGATAACCAAAAGTGTCCCCAAACATTGGAAATGTCCCCGGCAGGTAAAATGTCCCTCATTTGAGAACCTCTGGTCAAGAGTTTAGTAAATAAATTATAGTGGTATGTCTATGAAATGAAATAATACGTAACAATAAAAAAAGGTGCTACTTCAACATGCAAGAAATTGTTGAATCTCAAAAATATTATGCTTAAGGAAAAAAGACAAAAAGAATTCATACTCTATAATTCTACTGATATATAATTGTAGAAAATAAAAGCTAATATATGGTAATAAAACCAGATTAGTACTGGATTGACAATGTGTTGAAAGTCAAAAGAAGAGGCTTGAGATCTCTTTCTAGTGTGATGGTTTTACAAGTATATACGTATGTTAATGTTTAAAAATTTCACACCTCAAAAATGTGCAGTATACCAGATGTTAATTATATCTCATAAAGCTATTAAAATTTTATCTCAAAATTATAGCTTTATTGCATTTAGGGCATTATCCAATTTTGAATCTAGTCCAGTTATCATAGCTTAATGCAGTATTATGAAAATAATGCCTATAAAGGTCCAGTTCCTCAAACACCCTTGGAACCAATTTTGTCATCTATATTAGTTACCTTGGGCTGCTATAATGAAGTACCACAAGCTGTGTGTCTTTAAGCAACAGAAATTTCTTCCCTCACAGTTGCGGAGGTCAGAGGTCAGAAAACAAGGTGTCTGCAGGACCAACCTCTCCTCTGGATGCTCTAGGTGAGAATCTTTTCCATGCCTTTCTCTTAGCTTCTGATGTTGCCATCAGAACTTCAGATGGTGTTCCTTGGCTTCTGTCAATATTAATACATAAATCCTTTTCAGTCTCAGCTTCTCTCTTCACATGGTCCTCTCCACATCCTATCTGTTTCTGTTCCCTCTTCTTATAAAGACAACCCATGTTATTTTAAGTCCCACCTACAGACATAATTTTAGCTTGATTACATCTGCAAAAACTTTGTGTCCAAATGAGGTTTCATTTACCTTATGTGTATAACTAGGGGTTAGGGCTTGAACATACGGGTTTGGGGAGGGGAACACAGTTCAGACCATGACACTCATTGTTTCACTCATTAATGAGTTAAGGGTGCTTTGATATTATTACATTTGAATGAGAGTGGTCTTTAAAATTACATTTTGTCGTGTAGTTTGTTCCACCCTGATGCTTAAAGGGAGTCACCTGCCTCAGCCAATTAAACTGTGTTGTCTCTGCAGTGCGTTTTATCACAAGAACATGACCTTTAAGCACAAGAACACCTTGTACTCCACCACTAAAAACAGAAATGACATCTACCTTCACTGCTTCCCTATTTCTCTCCATCTTTACTGACTTGGTATTTTGTTGTTGCTGTCATTTCTGGTTGTTGGTCAATTTTCATTTCTGTTCTTATTTTGCTGATAATTCTTATAAATCAGTGCTGAATTTTGTCAAATTATTTTTCTGCATCTCTACAGATGATCATTTTATGTTTTCGTCCCTGTGATAATTTAGTGAATGTCATTGATCAATTTTTAAATAATGAATATCTTTGCATTTAAGATAATATTTTTCACTATTAATGTTATCTCTGAAATGAAAGCTAAACCTAGTCAATAGATATTAGAGGTGCATGATTTTTAAAATTGTATAAAATTAGATAAAAAATACAAAGAAATATATATAATTTTAAAACTATGTAAAAATGTAAATGCCAAATGATAGAGCACTAAATGAAGCTTGTAATATTAAATACAATCTTTAGAAACTCTTTTGCAGTGCAGGAAAAAAATAGAACTGAAAACAAAGCAGAAGAAATCACAGATATAAAATTAAAGAGGATAGAATTAAGCACCTGAGTTCCCACATCTAAAGTGAAAATCTAAGAATTTAAATATCATTCAAATGCAGACTAAAATACAATATAAAATAAAATTTCCTGAGCTAATTTTTAAAATACTGCTTAATTTGTAGGTAAAAATGCAGACTAATTTTCTGACTATATTACTATAAAAACCTTCTACAAATATTTTTTAACTAAAATTATAAGAAAAACATCCGCCATAAACACGTAAGATTAGTATTTTCGTTTCTGAAGTATAAAATGTCTGGATAGACTTGAGCTTGTTGCTTTAGTTTTATATGTGAAGACTGGAAAAATTCTGTTTTGTTTTGAAAAATATTTTGAGCTAAAAATGTTGTATTCCACATTTGTTAGGAATGGAAGTCTTTAAAATATGAAATATTTCCAATTGAAGAAAAATAGTGAAAATGAACTTTATCTGAATAAGATTAATGAAAATTACATGTTGAAAAAGTAAAATAGTTATGTGTACTAACAGTGACTACTAACCCAACAATATAAAATTAAGTAAAAATGTTATTACCATGTTAAATACAAATTAAAATTAATTATAAAAAAGTTAAGATCTATGATTAAAGTATTAAAATAAAATGAGACTGTATTCACAAATCTAAAAGCAAATTGGTGAATGACATATTTTTTGAAATAATAAATTCTTTGGCATATTTTATATTTTTTATTATAAATGAAAATTATTTATTTGAAATATTTAAAGGAACAAAATATTTGCAGCTCTATTTTATTGAGAAAGGAATTACAAAACAAAAACAAGGAGCTTTTGTAATTACAAAAGAATATATTAATAATATTATTTAGAAGCACAAAACCAGAAAAGCTTTATATTATTTCTAACAATAAATGTAAACCATCTAATTTTCTGAAAAGGGGTGGAAATAAATATTTAACAAAGAAGATGTTATTCTTAAATTGTAATATGTACATTGCCTAAAAATAAAAAGGTAGTTGAAGATATATTGTGAACAACAAAAAATGAAGAGCTGATAATATTAATGTGCGAAGGAAACTCATAACATATTGTACTAATTATAAATCAGTGTATTGACAAAACCTGAGTCCTCAATTATTATTGACTGTCATTGACATGTTAATGATAGAATATTAAATATAGAATATAATAAAGCAATTTAGAATAAAAAAGAGAAAGCGATAGACATGAATAGAAACAAAATGCAACTGTTCAATATTAAAAGCCTTTCTAAATTGCTTGTGTTTTTCTAGTGACCTGTTTCGCTATGCAGTGTAGGCTCAGGTGTCTAGATTTTAGTTGCAGATAAACACAGGTAGTGTTTTCCAGATCTCAGAATGACCAGTTACATAAAAATAGGCCATAAACCATATATTTCATTCTTGCGGTTGACAAACCTCTAATTCACCTGAAAATATTAAAAAGAAAGAAGACAGACGTGACAGTGGTTGGAAGTTGAGGATAAGAAGAAGTTGGCAGAAATAAGCTTTCTTCTTTTGGACAGCAATGCATGATAAAAAAAATTAAACTAAATTCAGTTCATTTCCACTAACTGGGACTTATTTAGAATTAGAAACTTTAAGAAAGTCTGAAGAATTTCAATTGAGGAGTAAATAAGGGCCAATTTATTTCATAGTGTGGACTCTCAAGACAATATACAACAGTGCTTCTCAAAGTTAAACAGTGTATGAGTGACCTGGAAATGAAGATGCAGATTTAATAGGGCTGGAGAGAAGTCTGAGATTCTCAATTTCTAATGAATTAAATTACAAAGAGGAGAAAATAAGGTTATTGCTTACTTTATATACATTCACAAACACAGGCTAATCAAATAATTGTTTAAAGTATTGCTCTGATAAGAATTAAATTACATAGTTCATAGGAAACATTTTCTTTACATTCGGATTTTATCTATTATTAGAATAATAATAGAATCTTGACTTTATGTAACTCTATGTTCCAAACAACTAGAAACTTTTCGATAGCAATTGTTCACCATTTAATAACATTTTTCCAAGATACCTAATGCACTCAAGGACAAAATAGCTGCCTTCCAGTGATTTCCAATTTATTCAATTTTCAGGCCATCTGTCTGCCCACACAATGACAGATTATAGTTACATTCTTGCCATGCTCTGAACAGCTAAGCCAATTGTTTTCAATCTTTTTTCTTCAGCAACTCCATCTCTTAAAGTACTTCAGAGTAGTTCCTGAAAGGATTCCTCTTTAGTTAAATGGCTATACAGCTCTCCCATCATCCAAAATAATCAGTGGAGAGATAGCAATATTTTTCATTACATTAGGCCAAGTTCCATTGCTTCCTTCATCTTGTAATCTGATCAGAAACACCACTATAGATTCAATAATTGAGTTTAGAGTTTCAGAGAATTTGGGGTCACAGAACATCTATGTCTATTTTGTAAAGATTATTGCATATTACTGAAATAGCTTGTCAAACACTGCAGTCTGCTTAAAGTATCAAAATAGAAATGTTGAATGCTGTGTCTGCACAGAGTTCATTTAAGCAAAGAATCTACTAGGCTCTTAAGTCTGTTAATGCAAATTCCTGAATACAGCTGACCCTCCATACCCCCATTGTGGGTGGATTTAACTAACCATGAATCAAACATATTTGTTAAAAGAAATACCAAGAATAATTTTTAAAAAGAAATACAACAATAAAACAATGCAAATAAAAAACAATCCTTATAACAATTATGTGCATAGCATTTATATTGTATTCAGTATTATTAATGTAAGTAATAATCTGGAAATGATAGAAAGTATACAAGAGGGTGTGTGTAAGTTATATGCAAATACTAGGCCATTTTATATAAGAAACTTGAGCATCTCTGGCTTTTGCTATGAAGGGATGATGGTGGTAGGATTGGTGGTGGTCCTGGAACAAATCCCCAGCAGGTACCAAGGGGGACTGTAGACCCCAAAGCTGTTTAGGAATGGGTCACAGCAGCAGGACTGAGGCAGGAATGCTCCCCACAGAAAACATCAACCACCTGTTGATTTTTGAATCTGCTCCTCTCAGGCATGCCTTCAAATGCTATAACCTGGAGATTCAACTCATTTTCATGCTGCTAAGTAGGAATAGGTGATTCAATTCCCCAAGAAAGTGACAGAGGTCCCTGAAATATAGATTTAAAGTTACATAGTGTCAAATGCTAGTCATTTTCTTTTTGCTCGATGGTATCCTCTCAGAAAAACCTTTTATAATATTTCTAATTCATTTACCAGATTTATAGAATCATCAAATTGTCTATCCATGTGTTTTTCAAATATTTTGTGAAGTGTCTAGGGTAACAACCTAGTGTTCGAACGTATTTTGTGAAGTGGCTAGGGTAACAACGTAATGTTCGAACTTATGTTCGTATTTAAATACAAATGTATTTTGGTTGAGTGATTACTCAAGGTCACTGAGGAATCCACAAGGTTAACCTCCTGACTCTAGAACCATTGTTATATAGAGATATATAAATAGCTGATTTAATATTATAGGCTTAGCAAAATATTTAATAAATAAGGTCTTAGTAAAACAACACACATGTATTTATCCACTTATTTAATTTTGTTTTTCCATTTCTTCTGAACATAAGTTCCTGAGGACACGGGCCTTTTTTCACAGTTCATTTTTGGATTCCAACATCTAGCCAGTACTCTGCAAAGAGCACTGAATTTGAAAGAAATTTCTCAGTTAATGATTTGAATCATATAAAATATTTAGTAAATTTGAAAACTAGTAACCGTGTAAAGCGATTAAAACAAACATACTAGAGGGTAATAATCCCCCGCCCCTTGCCTTCTTCCTTTACATCCACTTCATTCTTATTCTTGTCTACTTCCCCTGCCCCACCCAGGGAACGTGGTTAGCCCATCAGCTGCAAAGATTGTTCTCATATAATATTGTTCCGATGGATAATGAGACTCTGAAAGTGGAACATAAACAGATAAAACAAAAACAAACAGAAAAGAACCCAAAAACCTAAACTCAACTTCAGTTAAAGCAGAAAATATCTGTCCAGCCTAAACCAGGCATACTCCACAGACTTCTGTTAGACGCCTGATCCTACTTCAGTCTGGAACCACCTAGTCTTCAGGTTTGCCTGGTGCTCACCAGCTGAAGAAATCCTTTAACGACCTTTATTCAGTCAAGTAAATCGTTTTCTTTTGGCAACTTGCATGTTATTTTTTAGGTTTTCATTTATTTATTTTTTTATATTTAAAGTCATATTTTCTTCCTTTTATTCACTTTGCTGGTCTTTCTCACTTTGATTTTTTTTTTTTTGCCTTGTTTTGCATTTGTTTACTTTAACATTTTTTGTAACTTATCTCTTTTATTTTGGAAATTATTCACATTATCAGTTTTCTTTTGCTAGGCAATTTTGATATTCTAATAAACATTATTAACATAAAATATAAAGTTTACTAACACCAAGCCCAAACAATACAAAGTCTTAGGGCTCTTTAATTGCAATTATTTAAAAATATTTGCTACAAATTGTTCATTATTTTATATTCATGTTGTTTTTCTTATTCCCACAAATCACATATTGTTGGTGTGTTTGTTAAATAAAATTGTGACTGCTTATATATGTTTTTTCACATCCTTTCTTCTTCTAATATTTTGGAATTTACATCCAGTTAATTATCCTTTATTCTATGGTACATACTGTAAAAGTTACTATTCTTGGTAGTAAACTCTCAGTTTTTGGATTGTCTGAAGATGTCTCTATTTTGATCTGCTCTTGAATTCTAAATCTAATTGACATAAAATTCTAGATTTGCCGTTATCATTTATTAGCACTTCAAAGATATTCCACAATTTTCTGACTTTCAATATTTTTGTTGGTAAAAATGGTGATTGTTAATTGGCTTGCATATTCTGTTTTGGATATTCCACTGTTTCCTTATAATTTGTTTATTTATAAGGAAACTTATAAACAAATTATAAGGAAACAATAGAATATCCAAAATAAAGAGAATAGTTATGGGTTCGTTTAGATAATTCTTCAGAATCTACTAATTTGTGTCTTTCTTCTTTACTTCTGTAAACTTTTCAGCTACTATATATTAGAATATTTCTTAACTTTTTTATATTCATTCTGAAATTTCTTGCTGAAATTTGTTCAGAAGGTGAGTTAACGGAGCTATACATCTTTAGTGTCATGTGCTCTAAATTGCAAAATACATGTATTTTTATTTCAGACAACTTGAGTAACATTTGTGCAAATGTTTTATATACACGGACTTAATTTGGTAAATTTAGGCATGTGGTAGACAAATTTAAAAATGTATAAAAATCATGGGCAAGCATATGAACATTCTATTTTTGCTACTATAAAAAAATAGCAGACTATCCAACTATTTTATGATACTCAACGATACATCTTACTAAATGGTCACGACTCTTGCCTCTCAGGGTCAGAGTTTGCAATAGTGAAAGCAAGAGAAAGCCACGGAAAAAAAAACAGGGAGAGGGAAAATATTAAGCTCTAGAATATGTACATTGTTTTGCTTGTATAAATTTAGAACATTCAACACATGTTTACAATGAATACATATAAAATACCAATGACATGAGGAGAATTAGAATAGAAATAAATACAAGGATTCTTTCATGATAACTAAAAATATCAGTGAAGGTTTGTACATAAAATTTAGGGATTTTATATTATTACCTAATACAATTCTGGCTATAACATCACTAAAGGATTGTAAACGTCTGCTGGGAAACCTATGGGAAAAAAATGCAAGTGGAACTGGTGTCATACAAACACATTTTCTAATGGGAAGCTTAACTGGTGAAATGTAAGTTGGAAACATTACTCAATTTAGGTCTATGAAAATGTTTTCCCAAATACAATCTTTTCTTGTTTGATAGGAGGTTTTACTGTGATGTATTATTTCTGACAGCCTCTTTTTTTTTTTTTTTTTAAAGGAAACGAGTAGAATTAAGTGAATTGATTATCATATCTAACCTGTAAGTACAAATTACTTTCCCTTGGAATTACATAATTGATAATTGTACATCCTCAGATGTGTTTGAATCTGAGATTTACTCTAAACTCAGAGGAAAAAAAGTGAAATTTTGTTTCCATTGTGACACCTTTGTTTCCTTTTTAAGTTTTCAAAATTTCTTAAAAATTATTTTTCCCTTTCATAATTTATTCAACAAGTATCTATTGTTAGGTGTTGGGAACACAAGACCTAAAACTCCTGACAAATATATTCTATTTCTGAGGTCAATTTGTACATTAATAAATGCATATATAATACCAGACAAGATTGTAATGCTAACCAGTTTGACTTTGAGGCACGGTATTCAGAATGTAAATGCCCCTGGAAAAAACATTGAATATAAATGCCCCTGGAGAAAGAATGTAGTTGGAAAAAACATTCTGAGGTAAAATTATGCAATATTGGTATGACTAATTAGAGTGACCAGAGGTTCACACATTTTTGTGACATGCCATTGGTAGAAAAAGAGCCATAGCTGAAAAAATATGGCAGTCATAAGATGTCAGTGGAAATGAAGACAAGGATACCTTTTGGTCAATTTTCTTGAAAATATTGGCTTTTTCAACAGTGTAGTTTATTTAAAATTTAGTCCCAGTTCTTAGCAATTATTTATATACTGATGGACTTATATCCAGGGTCTTCTTGAATTAAAAAAAGTCAAAAAATAATTTTATAAATTTAAAATATTATAAAATTATGATATATACAATTCTTGCTCTCTCTGTCATATTTTTCCAATTTTTTGTCTGTCTTGTTTTTTCTTGCCTTTTCTTCCCTGTCCTTTCCCTTTCGTTTCTTTTCTTTTTGTTTCCTTTGTCTGGCCTTGCTTTGAGTTTCTTTTCCAAACGAATTCACTGGAGGTGGTATTTTTATGCATAATATACACAGCAAATGTCTAGGGCCTCTCATTTTTTACAAATCTTTGTAAGAAAAGGCTATCTATTAACCCAATGACATTGTCATAACCTTTTCTAAATTTCAATGATATTCAGTTTCTCGCAGCTATTACATTACAAAGTATACCTCAGTAAAAATCTAGTAAGTCATAGGGCTGATGTTGCTGATTGCTCACTTGCTCAAGCCAGAAGCTTAGAATACATGCTTGATTCTTCACTTTCCTGTGGGTTTATGCCAAATCAATTTCAAATCTATAGATCTTATCCTCTAAATAACATACAGCATGCCTACTTTTTTCTCTCTCTCGACTACTGTCACATTAATTCAAAAGAAAAAGACTGATGATTCCTAACTTCCTGGCTTCAGTAATTGGCAACGATGACATCACTACTAAGGCTTCACTTCTCACCTCTGCTTCCATATGAGTGTAATGTTATTTTCTCCTATGACAGATAAGTTTATTTTTCACCATTAAAAGGTAAGAAACTCACTCATAACCAAAGTTGGAGGAGACAGTTATTTTTTTTCCCCAGCTTGCCTGTTAAAACCATAAGGAATGATTAATCTGCCATGGTGCTTGATGTGGCCCAGGGATGTGCTCAGACTCAGTCATGTAGGGGCAGGTGGTATTAACATTAGTTCAAACATGGAACCATGGCATGTGTTAGAAATAATGGCTTATATTAGAAACTGGACATAAAATTGTCGTGAGCAAGAAAGTTACCTCAATTTGAGTCTACTAGAAGTTTCAGAGTGCCATTTCACATGGCCACAAAGTTCAAAAGTTCCAAAAGAAGCAAAAGTTTGACCAAGAAATCAGTGATTTTTTAAAAAAGAGAAATTGAGCTCAATCATGTTTTTTATATCTTCTACTGTACTAAAAGTTTTTTTCTCAATAATTGACTAAAAGTTCATTAACTACTGCACAGACTTCAATATTTAGAAATGTAATACGGGCTTGCTAACTAAAAGTGAAGTTATTTTATTGTCGGAACTAGCTATTGTTAGAAAGACTCATTTGCTTTTTATAATACAATTTTACATATGATTTATAGATTGACAGATTATAACAATTTATAGATTATTACCTCATTAATTTATTGAATAACCTGACTAAATTACTTAGTCACTGAATTAAATACAACCCAGCCTTAATACTTTGGGTCAAGGAACATTGACCAAATATGTATTTATGCCACAGATTCCTTGAAATTTCTTACCAAAGTAAATTGTTTCATGAAAAATACAGAAATAAATTGGTAACTAAATAAAACATGTTCTATATTTCAACTTGAAAAATTAAAGAAATTAATAATTCTTAAAATCAAAGCAATGATCATTTGTTTCCTAATTATTATTATTGTGAATGTACTTAAAATTTTTGCTATGCTTTTAAGAAAGATGTACTTCTATTAAAAATTATTAAAATAAACAGCAGAGAGACTGACTTTTCAAAATAGTTTATCTGGGAAGAGCAATGAACTGCAATTTGGGATATGTGTACCGTACTGAACCATAGGCACATTTGAAAAAGCTGGGGGAGCCGAAGCTTTTTTAAGGGTAAAAGGTGAAGTTCCCCATCAAACTACCGTTGGCATTCTTCACAGAATTAGAAAAACCTATTTGAAATTTCATATGGAATCAAAGAAGACCCCATATAGCCAAGACAATCCTAAGCATAAAGAACAAAACTGGAGGCATCACACTACCTGACTTCATTACTGCAGGGCCTCAGTAACCAAAACAGCATGGAACTGGTACCAAAACAGACATATAGACCAATGAAGGTGAACATAGACCTCAGAAATACACCACACGTCTACAACCACCTGATCTTCAACAAACCTGACAAAAACAAGCAATGGGAAAGGATCTCATATTCAGTAATAATGTGGGAAATCTGGCTAGCCATATGCAGGAAACTGAAACTGGACCCCTTCCTTACACCTTATACAAAAATTAACTCAAGATGGATTAAAGACTTAAATGTAAAACCCCAAACCATAAAAACCCTAGAAGAAAACCTAGGCAACAACATTCAGGACATAGGCATGGTGGGCAAAGACTTCATGACAAAAATGCCAAAAGCAATTGCAACAAAAGCCAAAATTGACAATGGGATCTAATTAAACTAAAGAGCTTCTGCACAGCAAAAAAAAAAAAAAAAAAAAAAACTATCATCAAAGTGAACAAGCAACCTACAGACTGGGAAAAAATTTTTGCAATCTACCCATCTGACAATGATCGAATATCCAGAATTTACAAGGGACTTAAACATGCTTACAAGAAAAAGACAAACAACGCTATCAAAAAGTGGGCAAAGGATATGAACAGACACGTCTCAAAAAAAGACATTTACGTGGCCAAAAAGCATACAAAAGAAGCTCAACATCACTGATCACCAGAGAAATGCAAATCAAAACCACAATGAGATGCCATTTCACGCCAATTAGAATGGAGATTATTAAAAAGTCAGGAAACAATAAATACTGGAGAGGATGTGGAGAAATGGGAATGCTCTTACACTGTTGGTGGGAAAGTGAATTAATTCAACCATTGTGGAAGACAGTATGGGCATTCCTCAAAGGATCTAGAACTAGAAATACCTTTTGACCCAGCAATCCCATTACTAGGTATATACCCAAAGGAATATAAATCATTCTACTGTAAGGGAACATACGTATATATATTTATTGCAGCACTATTTACAATAGCAAAGACATGGACCCAACCCAAATGCCCATCACTGATAGACTGGATAAAGAAAATGTGGTACACATACACCATGGAATACTATGCAGCTATAAAAAAGGAATGAGAGCATGTCCTTTGCAGAAACATGGATGAAACTGGAAGCCATCATCCTCAGCAAACTAACACAGGAACAGAAAACCAAATACCGCATGTTCTTATTCGTAAGTGGGATTCGAACATTGAGAACAAATGGACACAGAGAAGGAAACAACACACGCTGGGGCCTGTTGGAGGTTGGGGGGTGAGGGGAGGGAACTTAGATGATAGGTTGAAAAGTGTAGCAAACCACCATGGCATACGTATACCTATGTAACAAACCTGCACGTTCTGCACATATATCACTTTTGTTTGTTTTTTGAAGAAGAAGAAGAAATAAAGAAAAAAAAAGGTGAAGTTCATGTAAATTATTTTAAAATAAACCTCTTTGGCCCCAGAAGCTTATTGCTTGGTATGGACAAATACTCATCGGTGATACTGGCTATTGCTGGGAAGATGTCTTCATAGAAGCGTCGTATCTAAAATTTTTGTAGTTTTCAGGGAGTCCTTGCAATAATTCTTTTAGAGACATCCATGCATGAAGGGCCTTCTTTTATACTCTCCCAGCTCCATTTTGTTGTGGTTTGACTTCAGTGAGTCAACTTCTTTGCTTGTAACTTTAACATTTCCCCCCTTTGACCAAGAATTTTTTCTGAAAGCATTGCTGATTAATCAGCCTATAGTTAGGTTTTGATTGTTTCTTGGTGCTGGAGTGGACCTTTCCTAGTCAGTCTGATCCTGCATCAGAGGTGAATGGCCAGCAACTAAGAGCAGATGTCAAAACCCTTTTAGTCACATTTAAGAAACAAAGAGGTTCAGAAGGAGTGGCTCTCAGGATAAATCTGCCTGGAGTTCATTGCTAAGTTCAATTTTGTCAGTTCCATAGGCATTGACTACCATTTGGAAGTTCTGGACCAGTGTTATTCTGTTAGATGCATCATTTCTGCAGAGGTTGGACAGGAAACAGATAAAAAGTTTAAAAAGAATGATGCGGTACAAAATTAATAGTAACATGAAATATTGTCTATGAACATGGACCCAAAGGCAGCCAACTAATGAATCAAAAGTCTATGTGAGACTGAGTGAGATCTGTTGTAGCCATAAAGCCTGTCTTGCTATTTTATGCAATTAGGTCTTGACTTCCCCAGAGAAATATATTCAGGTACAGCATGTAGTTATTAGCAATGGCACAGACATTCTTGTTCAACCAGTAGATAATTGAGAGTTATCTCATCCTGTCCTGTTGTGTTATCTACGGCTACTCAGCAAGATACTTTAATGAGCACTGCTGGGCGGCAATAGCCTTTGCGGTGAAGCCTGCAATGAAACCCAAGGTGGCAAATAAATTAGGGATGTTGCCATAGTTACCCACTGGGTGGACTAAAGGATCCCTTAGGTCATGTAAAGATGTGGGTTTGACACGACAGATCCAAAACTTCATTCAGTTACGGAAGCTACTGAATGTGAAATTCTAACCACAGCGTTATTCTGCCAAGTGAAAAATGTAGGCATAAGCAAGAAAAAAAAAATAAGAAGGATAAGAGTCCAGTTTTGTTACAATGTCTTGGGAAAAGCTTTCCACACTGTGATGTCATCAACTTCTTACTCTGGTTTGTAGTTTGAATGTTCCTGGGTATAGCATGGGGCATTTTAGTCAATTCTCTTTGTAGCCCACACAATAGCCATGAGATTTCTCTCTTGAAATTTACATGGAGTTTTCTGGCTCCAACTTGTAGGACTTTAGGAACAAAGGCAGTTTATGTTCTTAGTTGGAGAATCGTAGCCAGACGTTGGAGGAAATTAGAATAATTAAGTGCCCTGTCTAATTTAGAGATAGATGACAAAAACTTGAAAACAACAAAGAAAACTACAATCTAATAACAGGTGTACTGCAGTTTTTCTTCAGAAACATAATTTTTCTCTGTACAATCATCCCTATTTCTACTAAAGATAATCAGAGTAAGACTAAATTGTGTGCTGAATAAGTTTAGTCTCATTAAACTTGGCATGATTATTGACAACAGTATAGCAAGAAAAGGGATGAAACATGGGCTGTTTTTAAGTTTATTTTGATGGAACTTTTGATAAGAAATCTCAGATTAGACTTTTAAAAGCCTTTCAAGGGTCAGAAGTCAAAGGAGGGCGAACATCAGACTTTGGCTGCAGTATCTAAAAATCTGCATGAATTTCTCTCTTCTTGAGGTCTCCAATATATCTGGAGGTTCCTGGCCTGTCAAGAGGTAAAAATGTTTATTCACTCACTGTGAGCTTGGGAATCCTTGAAGCTAGGCATCCTGTGCATAGTCTCAAATATCACATTCAAGTCAAACCATTTATAATATAACCAATGTTTGTAATTCTATCCTGTTACAAAGAGAATAGATTTTTATTGAATTAATGCAAATAACTATGTTGCCATAAAATAAAAATATCAATAAGAGCTCTCTGAAGACTGCAGCCACAGGTAGGAAGAAAAAATAAATATTTCCATTTTTATTTATAAAAGTATACTTTACCAAATTGCTGTATGCTATAGATAGCTTTTTAAAAGTTTTCTCAAATCTGGAAAACAAAAAATTTAAAAAAAACAGCAAAATGTTAAGCAAAAAGTCACTCGAAAATATTGCCATCAGTTTGTTTAGTCCCATTCATTAAACTTATTCTACTTGATCTGGGTTAGATGTTTTAAGAAGCCATCGTTTCTTCATTAGAGTCCTGGAAATTCTTTCCCAGTCCAGTGGTATAATCTTAAACTCATAAGAAATCTAAATTCCAGCATACTTGCTAGAGTCCTTTTCATGAACCTCCTTGAAGAGGAAGTATTTTTCTTTATTCATTTTAATTTATTCTCTACAATACTTCATTAGGGAGTTCAATGATTTGCACTCAGAAGTTAAATAGCCAAGAGGCAAGCAAGTATAATAAACTTCAGAATTGGACTGAGGTTGTTGCACTGAAGGCCATGTAGTCTTTTGCTTCAGGGAAATAACAACAAAAATAACCAAAATGAACACATAGCTCCCTAGGCTTCTGAATCTCAATAGAGAATAACATCAACATTTAATGAAATTGTAGATATTAACACATCATGGGAAAAAAGATACTGTGCAAAATATTATAATTAACACTTGGCACTTCTTATGTCTAGATTTTTATTATAAACAATAAAATATATGTAATATCTTAACTACAGACCTTTCATGTTGAAAGGGCATCTAACATAACTTGTTTTAACATTATGAAGGGGAAAAGTTTAGAAATTTCAAAGTGGAAACAATCCAACACTAACAAACTATAGTGATCAAAAGTATTAACTTTTAAAGAAAAACAAGGACAATTCATAAAAGTAGAACTACCATTTGATCCAGCAATCTTACTGGTTATCTACCCAGAGGAAAAGAAGTCATTACACAAAAAAGATACTTGCACATGCACGTTTATAACAGCACAATTAGCAATTGCAAAAATGTGGAACCAGCCTAAATGCCCGTGAATCAATGAGTGAATAAACTGTGGTATATATTTATGTGTGTGTGTGTGTGTGTGTGTGTGTATGTATATGTATATATATATGCATATGTATATATATATATATGCATAAATACATATATGTGATGGAATACTATTCAGCCATAAAAAGGAATGAATTAATGGCATTCATAATAACCTGGATGGGATTGGAGACTATTATTCTAAGTGAAGTATCTCAGGAATGGAAAACCAAACATTGCATGTTCTCACTCTTAAGTGGGAGCTAAGCTATGCAGATGCAAAGGCATAAGAATGATACAGTGGACTTTGGGGACTCAAGGGAAAGAGTGGGAAAGGCATGAGGGGTAAAAGACTACAAATTGAGTTCAGTGTATACTGCTCGGGTGATGTGTGCACCAAAATCTCACAAATCACCACTAAAGAACTTACTCATGTAACCAAATACCTCATGTTCTCCAAAAACCTATGGAAATAAAAAATTTAAAAAATTACAGAAAGGGAATGTATTATGAGACAAGCCACGTTTATAGACCAAAGCATGCTCATAGCTAGGGATGAAACAAACCACAAACCAAGCCAGCAAAGTTGGGTTGATTCCTTGAAAAGAATGGTTACCTATTGTCCAGATTGAGTAGCCCAAAGACAGAGGAAACACTGAGCGTAAAACATTCCCTTTTTTTTAAACCTACCACTCACACCACATGCACTGATCACTCTCATCACTGCTTTGGTAAAGCATGTAGGATGCAGTTCAGTTTCAATTTGGAGCTGTTACCTCCCCAGGCAAAGCTGCCACACAGATGATCCAGGCTTGGTGTTTTTCCTGAGAGCCACCTGCCACACATTTTCATAAGGTGACCATGACTATGCACATCCAGGCTACTTCCTGACTAGGCCCTGTTCAGGAAGCATCCTGAGGTGTCCATTCCTCGTGGAGCCAAATAGTTCCCTTGGTTGACTCCTGAGTCCCCTTGGCAAGCCAAGCAGAATTCAAGCATTTCTACTGCTAGCCTTGTGTGGGAGCATGAGCGAATGTAAAGGGAGCAAGGCTCTTCAGTCCATAAACCACAGCCTACTTCGGGGTGGTGCTGGACCAGCCCTATTCTTGGGTACTGAATTTCTTTTTCTCATTTGTTGGGATTTTAAATTTTCTATTTATTTTCTTAAATGGCAGGTATCCTACTGCATCTTCAATAAAATAAAATATATACATATATATGTTGTACACTGGAGAAAACAAATAGGGGAACAGTTTGATAGTTTAGCCCCATTTTTTGCTTTTATTTAACCTTTAGAAGTAAAACACAATTATTAAAACAGAATGCTTGAGCAGTAATAAGCGTAGCCCTATGTATCAATATTATTGTACAAATTGGATGTGGGTGCTTAACCCAGAGCTGACCACCCTGATAATAATCCAGAAAAAAACCATTGTTACATCTGTTTGTAACAAGACATTTATTATTCTCAGCACCAGGACATCATAAAATGACTCCTTGATCTTCATTTACTTCACCAAGGGAAACGTGGCAGGCTACAGAAACTCAGCACAGCAGTTAGTGGGGCTGTGCCCTGGGTGCCCTGATGTCACCCACATTTCCCTTGCATGTCTCAGGTCCTAATAAGCAGTGCAGGACAATGTTGAGCCAACCTACTCACCCGTGCCCATTCCTTCCCAGAAACTTAAAGGTGATCCCTATAATAGCACATATGTCCTTTCCCAAATTGTGTCTTTGCTCCCCTAACCCCATTCTTGGCAGAAGAAAAAACAAAACATCTCTTGACTTGAATATTTGCTTATTTTAGAAACCGACACAATCACCATAAACTTAAAAAAAAAATAAATCAAAATGTTGTTTTCACTGGGTTGACACCTATCTGCTTCAAGAATTCTCTAAGCATGTTGTTGAAAACCAGTGTAACATCTTTAGGATCTTTCTCCCAACTGACCAGTCTTCCTGTGAATCATTTCAGCAGTTCCTTTGTGGCAATGTTTACAAAGCATCTTCTAAGTCCTCTAATTCTATGAGCTTTGCTATCAAAATAGTGAAGAATAGGAAAGGGGGAGGAAAAAACTAGCTGACAGCTGTTTGGAAATCAGCAACAATGTGAAAGAGAAATGTATCTCATGAAAGTTTGAAAGACATGGAATAAATGAGCTCCTTGGAAATTTGCCCTGGCGGAGTGAAGATTCCCACTTTATCTTCTTAGGTAAGATAAAGATCCACCTTATGTAATTACACAGCTTTGTTTAAGCATCCTGTAAAAGACTGAAAAATCAACTGTCTTCCTAACTCTACAGGCAAACTAGAAAAAGGATCTCCCTGCTTACTGGTCCCTCAGGATGTTTTCCTGAAAAGAAAACCAGCTTAGAGATACTGGATTTTCTTCTATGACAAAGTGTCCTCTTAAAGTCCAACCGAAACTTGTTTGCACACTTACACTTCTGAAAGCCTAGGTCCGACTATAGGGCTGATACCGGGAGAGAAGTGAAGTAGCTGGGTGGTGAGGAAGTGGTCTCTCCTTTCACATCTCTGTGCAGTCATGATATCAAGACCCCTTGTGGACATCTCTATTCCATTCCTCAGTCAGTGACACCACAGAGCTCTGTTTGATACCGGGAGACTTAATGCAGTAAAAGTGACAGAAAGTGCAACTGATAGTAGGATGAAAATTATAATCTTCAAGGATTATTGAGCCATGAGATCTGCAATGCTATCGTAGGGTTTCTGATCCTGATGTGGGTCTCTGTCCAGGATCCTTGAAGAAATTATGGCACCCACATCCAACCCTAACATAGCTTCCACTTATGAAACAAGGAGGTTGTAATCAACTCTTGGTATGTAATAAACTGGAAGTTCAAAAATGTAATTTAAAACAATCTAAAAGAATGTAGTGTTGGTCTCCATTGCACAGACTGCTAGGGGAATATATCAACTTGATTTGGGGAGGCTGTAGAGGTATATAGAGGAGTATATGGGTTAAACCTTAATGGGTCATCAGTTTCAGAGAAGAAGCAATTTTTTATTGTAGCTGATGGCAAATGCTTTTGGAAAAGAATGAAAGCAGTCGGTCCCTGTGGATGACAGACCTAGAGTGGCCATGGTTAAAAATCTCATGGAGTTTATTATAATAATAATGTAATTGACAAAGAAATTTGTTTATTTCTGTGGCATACAAAACTTGAAGATAATAACCAAGATTATGACCGATAACATATCAGATTTTGAAGAATTCAATATAATTTTGTAACACATATCAATAACATTCTGAAATACAACTTAAAGAAGGTTTAGCACCACTTAGTATTTGACAATACTCCCTATATAATTTAATATATCAAGTAAGTCTCATTAGTTTAATATATCTCTTTACAATGTGAGATACACATTCTTTGATCTTTCCAGGGGTCCAAATGAGAAATATCAAAATTAACTTGAGGGCAAAAAGAGTTAATTTAAAATATTATTTTGGGAAGTTTGTCAAAAACATCAAACAGTTTAAAACACTTTATCAGAGTACGATAACAGGTAACCAAAATGAAAATTAAAAGATTTCAAAAAATAAATGTAGAAATTTACATAATTGTCAACAAAAACATAGCTTTTTAATACTGAGAACATTTACTTTTCTCTTTTTTTAACTTTTATTTTAGGTTCAGGGGTACACATGTGGGTTACTTACGCATTTATATGGGTAAATTGTGTGTCACGGGGTTTGGTGTATAGATTATTTCATAACCCAGATAATAAGCATAGTACCCAGTAGGTAATTTTTAAATTTTCATCCTCCTTCCTCCCTCCACTCTAAAGTAGGCCCAGTGTCTGTTGTTCCATTTGTGTCCATATGTACTCAATGTTTAGCTCCCCTTATAAGTGAGAACATATGGTATTGGGTTTTCTAGGATAATGGCCTCCAGCTCCACTCATGTTGCTGGAAAAGAGATGATCTCATTCTTTTTATGGCTGCATAGTATTCCATGTTGTATATCTACCACATTTCTTCATCCACTGATGGGCATTTAGGTTGATTCCATGTCTTTGCTATTGTGAAAAGTGCTGCAATGAACATACACGTGCATGTGTCTTTATGGTAGAATGATTTGTATTTCTTTTGGTATATACTCAATAGTAGGATTGATGAGTTGAATGGCACTTCTGCTTTGAGTTCTTTGAGAAATGGCCACACTGCTTTCCACAATGGCTGAACTACCTTACATTCCCACCATCACTGTATAATCATTCCCTTTTCTCCACAACCTCACTAGCATCTCTTATTTTTTGAGTTTTTAATAATAGCCATTCTCATTGGTGTGAGATGGTATCTCATTGTGGTTTTGATTTGCATTTCTCTAATGATTAGTGATGTTGAGCATTTTGTCATATGCTTTCTGGCCACATGTATGCCCTCCTTTGAAAGTGTCCGTTCATGTACTTTGTGTACGTTTAAATGGGATTGTTTGTTTTTCACTTGTTGACTTTTTTAAGTTCACCAGATGCACTGTGCTGGGGTTCTGTGATAGTCCCTAATTGCTGTGCACCCTCCCAAGCCTGAGAGCAGCAGGAGGGAGGGTTGCGAGACAGCAAAAAGGTGGACTGCCTCTCTCTTTGGAAGCTGCATGCCGGAGAAGTGTAGAGCTGCTCCCAGCTGGAGAACTCAGGAGGACTAGGGTGGCCTCACTAGCATCCCAGGCTAGTGGGCCTTATCCTACAAGGTTCAGTGGTGGTGAGGTCTGCAGTCTATCACTGCTCAGCCCCATGGACTTGGCCCCTTTTCTGGGGAGCGTGCAAGAAAACTTGGCCTTCCCAATTGCTGGAGCTGCAGCCCCTGGTTTTGGGGTACCCAGGGAACAAATGCTACTGGAACTCCACACCTACCTAAGAAGCAGCTCTACCCAGACTCCACATGGCTCTCTGTTTTGGTCTGGAGACCCCAGCTGGGGTATCTCCTGAGCCCAGGGATTCAAAGGTTCGTGGCAGAAATATGCATCCCACGGGACTCTCACTCACTCACCATTTTCTTGTAGGGGGATTCCCCTGGGTCTGTGCCACTCCTGGGTGAATGGCTGATCTGTCTCACTCTTCTCCGTGATCCGAAGGTCACACTATGTCACTGATGAATCCTTATGTGTCCACCTGGATGTTCCGGTTGAAGAGCTAGTGTCTCACCACTCTTTCTGCTATTTGTGAGAGTGGCACACACTAGCTGCTTCTAGTCAACCATCTTGGCCCCACCTCACTCACTTTTCTCAAGTAATCAAAGACCTAGTAAAAGAGAGCATAAAGCATAAGAAATTACCTTGATAAACAAAAAATCTTGGTTTATTAGGCCAGTTATCTAAAAGGTAGAGAAAACATTTCACTATTTTCTATTAAGAGCAGGTCAATACTCAAAGAAAAGCTTGTTGTTTCAGCACAGGGGACAAATTTCAAGTTTTCCATTCCTGTACTTTTGATAATAATGCTCAAGTTTTCAGAATATTTATAAATAATTTCCTTTTAACTTTAGCCAACTTGGTCACACATAAAATTCTTTTCACAAGATTAATCTTCCACAAACTTTCTATAAATTTGTCATCCAGTTATCTTATTCAGTTTTTGTCTATATTTTTTCTCTTTTTCTTTTTGGAACAGTAAGACATTCTACTTTTAGACAAAAAATACTCTCTTTTTCCCTTAACAAAAACACAACCTCTTACTTATAACTTTCTTTATGTGTTTTCCTTCCCTCGCGTACAGATTTGTTTCCCTTCATTATTTCTAGTTTAAATTACTCTAATATTAATTTTAATTAACTCTTAGTAACCTTAATTTCTAGTGAAAATTAGTAAGCATTTTGAAGTGCATCATGTTAGTATTTTGCAGATGAACACCATCTCATAAAATAATTTTTATGCCTTTAATTAACAGGCCCAAATATGTTTAGCTTTTCCATAACATGTGAAACCAAGATGCCAAATTACGTATATTTTAAACTTCTGTTAAGCAATTGATATTTCAGTATTTTCCTTAGAAATGACTCAAATATTAAATCAGTAAAGTGTTACTTAATTTAATATAACATGATTTTAAGATTTCAAGTCACACTAAATTATTTTTGAAATTCTGACAACTTTATTATCAACCTTTTGTCAATGTATATTCACCTAATTCACTTGTTCTTAACAATTGTGCTTCAGTTCCTCCTTAAACACAACGATGAGTGGATTTATAGCTTTAAGACATTCATTATACATCTCAGTAATAGCAAGCTTGTTTCACCAGTAACTTTAGGTTTAAAAACTGTATCTGTACATTGTAATTAATGCTGACAATTCTGAAAATATTTGTTTTTATTTTGCCAACAAATTTTAAAACTAGCTTTGTCTGCCAAAGATTATTTCATCACATAAGCCAAAAGGCAATTGAGTTTCTGTTTTTCTGAGAGAATTCTTAGTTTAAACACTTATGTTTTCTCTGTAAGCCAATTAAGTAGAGCCGTTTATGAATTTTGGTAGAAAAAATTGTACATACGCACACACACACACACACACGTAGAAAAATACAGACAGAGGAAGAACTTACAACTTGCATTAAGAATTGTTATTTGCCTGGCTTGCAAGTAGTTTTACTCCCTCTTTCAGACTATCTGTCTTTTAATGATCTGTTCAATTGGCCCATAAACAAGTGTTAGTTAGGCCACCCAAAATTTGTACTTCCAAAGAGATGATTTTTAGGTGAAGGAATGTAGAAAATTTAAATCTCAAAGGTACAGAACTTAAACACCACTATTTGTTGAGATGAAAAAAAGCATATATAGGAAGCCTTCAGAATGAAATGGTCAAGGGTGAGTTTACACAGATAGATAGATTTAGGTCTCTTCCTTTTGCTTTGTGAAAGCATCTAGTGTTTTAGGTGTCAGAGAGGGAGATATCCTTACAAAGCAGAGATTATCATTACAGGTTTACATTTCTTACAAAGAGTTTCAAAATAAACAGGTAAATGCCAAAAACATATATTTTGGAGACGGATTAATTCACTAGTTGGTCTATTCAACTTAACTTGTTTCCTAATGAGATTAAATTCATGCACAAATAACCAAACCAAAAATTAAACCAAAAGAATACTCACCAGAAAGGATGTCCTTTACAAGAGCAGATCCCCCAAAATGTAAGAGTTCACTGAAAAGGTGGGAGCTCAAACCAAGAGAGGACTTATCTCGCAGCATAAAGACAACTTGTACAAGTGAAGATCACAATAGGCTCAGGTGAGTATCATACACAATTTCAAGTATCGCCAGATACTTGAAAGCCTTCCAAAGGCTTTCTTTGTTACTGTTTGGATAACAGTGCTGTAACTGTAAGTAACAAAGAAGGCTTGGAGCCTTTGCATCTTGCTTCTGACATTAGATTATGTCAACTTAAACAACAGAGATACTGACTCTCTAAAATAAAGAGTGGAGTGTATTCAGGAAATAGCAGTAAATTGCAATTTGAAATACACATGCTATGGTGGACCTTAGGCACCAAAGAAGCTGAGGGACTGTATTAGTTTGTTCTAGCACAAAGAACTACCTGAGACTTGGTAATTTATAAAGAAAAGAGGTTTAATTGACTCATGATTTCATAGGCTGTACAGGAAACATGATTGGAGGAGGCCTCAGGAAACTTACAATGATGGCAGAAGGCAAAAAGGAAGGAGGCACGTCTTACATGGCCGAAGCAGGGGGAAGAGGGCAAAGGGGAAATACCACACACTTTTCAACAAGCAGGTCTCATGAGAACTCACTATCACAAGAACAGCAAGGAGGAAATCCACCCCCATGATCCAATCGCCTCTCACCAAGCCCCTCCTCCAACATTGGGGATTACAATTCGACATGAGATTTGGGTGGGGACACAAATCTAAACCATATCAGGAAGGCAAAAATCTTAAAAGAGAAATTTTATGTAAGTTTTGTAATAAACCTCATGGGCCAGAGAAGCTTGTTACAAGAGTTGGCAAATACTCATTGATAATATTGGCTGTTGCTGGAGAGATGTCTTCATAGAATTATCATATCTAACATTTTCGTGGTTTTTGAGAGAACCATTGCAGCAGTTCTTATTATAGACATATGTACATGAAGGCCCCTCTTTCATGGCCTCCCAGCTTCATTTTTTTATGGTTTGATGTAAGTGACTCCATTTTGGTGCTCACAACTTCCACATTTCTCCCTTTTGGTTGAAATATTTTTCTGAAAGCATTTCACACTTAAAAGATATAGATTGGCCGGGCATGCTGGTTCATACCCGTAATCCCAGCACGTTAGGAGGCGGAGGTGGGTGGATCACCTGAGGTTGGGAGTTCGAGACCAGCCTGACAAACATGGAGAAACCCCATTTCTACCAAAAATACAAAATTAGCTGGGCGTGGTGGCACGTGCCTGTAATCCCAGCTACTCAGGAGGCTGAGGCAGGAGAATCACTGGAATCCAAGAGGCAGAGGTTGCAGTGAGCTGAGATCACGCCATTGCACTCCAGCTTGGGCAACAAGAACGAAACTCCATCTCAAAAAACAAAAACAAAAACAAACCAACAAAAAATGAAATAATTGTAAAAACCAACCATAGTTCTCAGTAATGATAGTTTCATTTCCGTCAGCTATTAGTAGAGTTAATTAACTCCTATCAACCTCACATTTTCCATTTAAAAAATACAGGAGAAAAAGTTTGATGTGGGTTTAATGAGAAAACTTATATAAAATAGATCTAACTACTATATTTATCACAAAACAGATGCACAAACTATGTTTTTTTCCTCTCACTTGTTCTTATTTTATATATCATTTTAATTGAGGAAATCATTGAGCATAATGTAACAAATATTTTCATAAGTTATTATAAAGAGGGTTTGAAGGACTTGTTAGAAAGTGTCTGGCAGTGGAAAAAACATCTGAATAGAAAAAGAAAATAGCATGTGAATGCTGAAATAGCGTATTAAATAGCTGCAACTCTAATATAATTTACATTTGGATTTTAGTGTAGACAGAATACTTAAATTTATTTCTGCAGTCTTTTCAGTTGTTAAACATTTTATTGAACTCTTCATGTGCCTTTCAGATGTATTGTGCTTCAAGTGTGCTTGTACCAGCTTTTTCTGTTTAGAAATGCTTGAGTGTCTCCATTGTCAAAACGATCAGAAGGCAGTAATTGTATTTCCAATGTGAGGACAAACAATACTAGATATCCTGCGATCCTACATTGTAAAAAATATTCCCATCAAATGCCCCAATGGATAGCCACGTAAGTGATCATCTGTAATTATTTAGTCAAGAAATGAATATTTTACATGTAAATACTTTGAATGGCTTAATACAAACTAAATTTTTCAGAATGCAACCACTACGGAAATTGAAGAGAAAAAGTCTTTTTATTGTAGAAACTTCCCAGAGTCTTTCAATATTTACAAAAATTATGTTGCCAGTGGCAATACCTTAGTTATTTGAATCACCAGTAGAACACACTATAAAAACATGCATTGTCACATCTGTACCCTGTCACATCCAGGATAACGATAATATTGAGATATATAACTATTTAGCCCTTATTTTAAAACATCAGGTAACAAGCATCAATCAATTTCTATCAAATGTTTCAACTTGGGTATTACAGCATAAGCAGAAATATACTGTTACCAATATCCCAGCCAATTTCTTTTCCTAATGAAACAATAAAACTGAGAATATAGAGACCATTTAGTAAAGCTGATATATATATATGTTTGCATATGTGTGTGTGTGTGTGTGTGTGTGTATATACATATAAATGTAATTAATACAGTAGATGAGGTCAAAGAAGCAAGTGATACACAACTTTTAATTTGGATGGGATGTCCTTGAAGATTCCTGTATTAGTCCTTTCTCACATTCCTATATGAAAATACCTGAGACTGAGTAATTTATAAAAGAAAGAGGTTTAATTGACTCACAGTTCCCTATGACTGGGGAGGCCTCAGGAAACTTACAATCGTAGTGGAAGGTGAAAGGGAGGCAGGCACTTTCTTCACAAAATGGCAGGAAAAAGAAGGATGGGAGGAGGAACTTGCCGAACAGTTGTAAAACCATTAGATCTCGAGAGAACTCACTCACTGTCATGAGAACAGCTTGGGAGAAACCACCTCCATGATTCAATTACCTCCACCTGGTCTCTCCCTTGACATGTGGGGATTATGGGGTTTACAATTCACCATGAGATTTTGAGTGGGGACACAGCCAAACCATATCAACTCCTAAATCTTAATACACTTTATTACTAGCTGATATGATTTGGATCTGTGTCCCTTACCAAATCTCATGCCGAATTGTAATCCCCAGTGTTGGAGGTGGGGTCTTGTGGGAGGTGACTGGATCATGGGGGCAGATTTCCCCCTTTGATGCTGTATCATGATAGCATCCTCATGAGATATGGTTGGTGAAAGTGTGTGGCACCTTTTCTCTTCCTCTCAGTCCTGCTTCTGCCTCGCAAGATTCGTGCTTCCACTTTGCCTTCTGCCATGAGTAAAATCTCCCTTTAGCCTCCCCAGAAGCAGATGCTGCTATGCTTCCTGTTCAGCCTGCAGAACTGCGAGCCAATTAAACTTCTTTGCTTTATAAATTACCCCATCTCAAGTGTTTCTTTATAGCAGCAGTGTGAGAACAAGCTAATACACTAGCCTTCTTGAATACATCTTAGCAAGCTCTCGAGCAGCGTAACCACATAGATTAGAGAAGGCCAAAACTGACAGATTCCCATCTTGACCAAAGTTTAATCATTCTTCTCCAGTCCCTCTTCTCAGGCCCAGTTTAACAAAGACGCCTGCTAAGCCAGTTCACTGAGAATCACTTCGCCCTGGATATCTTATCACTTTGGCATGCCTTTAGCAATAATGCAGTTTAGCAAGAACCCCGCTCCCCGCCACCCCACCCCCCGCCACCCTTAATATCTAATTAGTTTCTATCCACTGACTCACTCCCTCAGCTCTTTGCTTATAAATTTCCAGCTCCATGCTGGGAGAAATTTTAGTTCAATCTCTCTCTACTATAGCTATATTATTCCCCCATTGCTATAGTCCTGAATAGTCTTCCTTGCTATTTTTAACAAGCAACCAGTGTACACGTTTCCTTTTGACAAAACATAGTGTCCATATGTAGAGGGAAGAGGAAAGCTAACAAAATATAAAGTCATCCAAACCACACACACCTTGGACAAGCTTATCATGTGTGGGAATAAAATGCTGGAGGTGGGTTTGGCTTCCCAAAAAAAAAAAAGTGTGTAGTTTGAAATTTCATATCAAGAACAGTTAAATTCCCAGATTCTTTATCATTACTGAATACCTTAGTAATTATTCTTCATTTAACACAACAGGAAATAGGAGATTTATTTTCTGGAGAGACTTGTCCAATTAAAGTGGGGATATGGTTGCTCCGTTGAGCAGAAATTTGGCTTATATAGACCCAAAGCTCAGAAAAAGAGTTATAGATCTAAAATGACAATCATTGAGACAATAAAGTCCATGGAAACCACGATGGGAAGCATCTACGTGGAAATAAAAAGTTGGATTTTCAGTAGAGAAATTGGTAACAATGTAAATTTCCTCTTAATGTCAGGTGAGAACTAATTCTGAAGTCAGAGGAGGAAAGTAGCCTACAACAAAGAGTAAGATCATCTTGACAGGATCAGGGAGAAAGATAATAGTTGCAAATGGAGACAGGTATATTGATTTAGTGCCAGGTAGTTGAAAGACTATGAGTATAAAGACTTATATTTTCTCTGTGTTGCAGTAGCAAAGTCATCTGCAGAGAGAGAGAAGTGAGAAGGGAGAAGAGAGTGTCAGAAATTAGAGGATTGTAGAGATTGAAAAAGTTATGTCAGGCACAATTGAAAACCCGGTTTCCAATGGTGATCATTGTCTTAAAATATTATCAGTTTGTTTTCTTGCATGGCATTCTTCAGCAGCAGTCATGGACTGAGAAATATGCAGAAATCAGATAGTTGAGTTCATCTAGAGAAGAGGTTGCAATGTGCTTCTAAAAAGGACAAAACCAAAAGCAACCGAGGGAGAGAGAGAGAGAGGGAGAAAGAGAGAGAGAAAAATGAAGATGTGAAAGGGGATAGGTCAAAACTCATTAATTTTTTTTAAGCAAAGGGCCAGATAGTAAATATTTTTATTTTGTGAGCCATATTGTCTCTGTAGGAAGTACTCAGTTCTCCCATGTTCTGCAAAAGCAACCATGGACAATAAGAAAATGTGGCTGCGTTCCAATAAGAATTTATTTAAAAAATAGGTGATGGATTGTATTTAGCCCAAGGGAAGCAGTATGTCAATTCTGGTTTTATGTTACTGGCAATTACATTTTAAAATATTCAGTAATTGAATCTACAATATCGATTCCCAACTATTGCTGCATATTAGTATCATAATAGAATGCCAGGTCCCAGAGACACTGGGTCAGCCAATCTCAATTGGGGCCAAGGCACTCATATGTATCTTTGGAACCTCCTCAGGCAATTCTAACATAAAGCCAGTGTTGAGAAGAGCCATTGTTAGTTTGCTTGTGGGAGTAACTGACCGCAGGAGGATCATAATGCTATAGGCAAAGGCTGAGGCACCAGTGGATTGAAAGTCCTAGTGAGGCAGGAGAACAGCTGCAGTGGGAATTGTTGCCACACTGAACAGACAGGAGATTGATCAAAGAGTGGTGTGCTTATTTAGTCATTTAAGAGGAATATCATGTTTTGTCATTATACATTTCATGGGTTTGGTAAGCAGCCTCTAAAATTGCTCCATGTCACTTGTACCCCTGGTAGAGGTAACTCCTTGAGGAATCTTCTACTCTGTTGTCCTAGTTGAATTTATCTCACTTCACTATCAAATAGACTGTGGCAGAAGTGATGGATATCACTTCCAACATTAGATTGCACAAAGACTGTGGCTTCTGTCTTGGGAATCCTCTCTCTCTCTTTCATTGTAAGGGAAGCTGACTTCTATGTTGGGCGCTGCCTATTAAGAAGTCCACATAGCACGGAGCCAGTGTCACCAGTCACAGCCAGCAAGGAAGGACCTGGGGACTGCCCCCAGCCACATGATTAATCTTAGAAGTGAATCTTCCCTAAGTAAGGCTTTTAAATGATGGCAGCCTTATGAGAGTCCTTGAGCTAGAGGGCCTTACTAATTCTGATATAGTTCCTGACCCAGAGAAGTTGGCATAATGAATGTTTGTTGTTTTAATCCACTAAGTTTTGGAGGTAATATGTTAAGCATCAACAGATAACTAATAAAAGGAGTGATTCTGAGCAAGAAAGGCTTAAGTGGAGGGAAGCTAAGGTCGAATAGTTTATGAATATCATCCTGTAAGAATACAGGGCTTGGAGCTTTGAAGGTGGGAGCAGAAAAAAATTTATGTAAGCTTGTCATTAACAATATGACTAAAAAAGTTCATTATACTGAAGGATAAATGCTTACATGTGCCTCAGAGAATAGATGTTTTTATTCCCGGGAAGAAAGATAAACTTTTTCAAAAAACATAAAGATTAAGTAGGATGCAGTTTCCAGCTTTGGATTCTGACATTCAGGACATGGGGAGGGTGATGAGCTTCTCCTGGAGGACTGAATTTAGGACACAATCAAGTTCATGATGGAAGCCCTTATGAGGTAGAGAGGGAGTGCATCTCAGCTCTTTCGATTAATTAAATGATTGTTTGAATTGGAGAAGGTGTGGGTATTTTGTGTTGTTTGGGTGAGTACATTGGAATGGTTTTCTAGCATTCCTTTGAGATTTTCCACAGTATAAGTTAAGGTAAAAGAACATTTTTACTTGTTTCAGAAAGCATACTGAGGAAGCTTTAATGTTACTATTAAGTAGGTAGGGAAATGACCAATATTATAAACGCAGATTTCCAGCCTCTCCTTTTAATGCTTTCAGAATGATTCCACAAGAACCTTGAAAATGTTGAGTATTTATATTTATTTTATGCCCTTTTATTGTGATTTTTTTAATAAATAACATTTTTTTGGTAAATACTGGAAGTTAATATTCTATAGTTCAGAAAAGCAATTTTGAACACTCAACTAGTGAGCCCATATAAAACTACATAACAGCACAGAATATAGTAAAATAATAATATAATGAACTGGGAGACAAACTAGGCACTGTGTGCCAAGTTTTTCAAGGAAGATACAATTTCAATACCAATGAAATAAACTCCCACAAATTGATTTTTCTTTGTGTGCACTCATCAGTGTAAATACAATTAAGTAATAAAGCCTGTATTTGTTCAGGAAAGATGTTTTCTATTCATAGTCTGATATCTGGGTGCTTTGGTTTCTGATAATTTGTTATGTAAAAACCCTGCAAATTAAAAAAAAAAAAATCAGCAGCTCCAAGTTCATGGGCCCTTATCACAGAGGATTTAAAACCTGTGCATTTTCTTTAAACTGAGAATATTATTACATTTTTTAATCCAGTGATGAGACCATAATAGTTTTCTGAAATAATTCAGAATAATTATATACCTAAAAGTTAATTTGCATGTGCTGTAATTTAAATAAAAGGACAGTTAATTTTTGCATTACAAAACATGAAAAATAAAATCAAACGTTGCATCTTTACTTTTATTACATAAATTCCTTTACATTGTAGTGCCCCCTAGCACCACGCAAGTTTATAAACTGCTTTCAATATTAATTATGTTATTATAATAATAACTAATTTAAGAATGTATTATTAAAGTCAGTAATTTAATAATAATAATTTCAACAATATATGTGTCACAAAAATACCTGAAATTACAATTAGTATGTCCGGTTTACTGATGGGAATACTGTGGCTCAAAAACATCATCTCAGGCAGGGTGTGGTGGCTAACTCATGTAATCCCAGCACTTTGGGGGTCCAAAGCAGGTGGATCGCCTGAGATCAGGAGTTTGAGACCAGCCTGGCCAACATGGTGAAACCTCATCTCTACTAAAGTACAAAACCGGTCCGGCATGGTGGTGCACACCTGTAATCCCAGCTACTCGGGGGGCTGAGGCAGGAGAATCACTTGAACCCATGAGGAGGAGGTTGCAGTGAGCCAAGATCACACCACTGCCCTCTAGTCTGGGTGACAGAGTGAGAGTCCTTCTCAAAAAAAAAAAAAAAAAAATCATCTCACCCAAATCATGTAGCTACAAAGTTATGGTTTAGAATAATTCAACTATTTTACTGAAATCAAAACTTTTACTATTAACCAATCAGTTACACTCAGCTTTGTGTAACTGAATACCAAATAACATCATGTTCCAGTAATTTTCATTTGAGTGAGAAGGGAGCACACTGGTACCCTGGACACACCCAGATACACTAAATCAGAACCTCTAAAACTTGGTGACTGTAAAAATAATTTTATTCTGAGTCTGAAACATATGCTCCGTGTTTCTTAGCAAGTTTCTGCAGCACAGGAGTCAGGTGAGGGAAGGTAGCGCCCCACTCCTGGTTATGGAAGGCAGAGGGTGAGTTCTGCTGCACATATGAAGCTATGGAGAGAGCAAGACTGCATAGGAGCAGGGTACAGTCTCTGGATATAGAAGACAGATAAACCTGGGTTATAGTTGACCCAGTGGAAAATTATAGGCCAAGAATAAGTTTCCAGATACCTTAATAGGACTGGGCATTTGATAAATTTTGAAAGTTCTCTGATAACTCGTATGTGCAGTGTAGGCTAAGAACTCACGGAAACAATATAGACATTTTTTGCCTCTCAGGGATATGCAGACACCCCAGTTCAGATATGATGTCTTCATGATCATCAGAAATCCAGATGGCTATTATCTTGTTGCTTTGCACCTCCAAGTACTGCTGCTTGTCATGTTGCCCCATGGCTGCCCCAGATCTAGCCATCAGAGCTGCCTTTCCAAGAAGGAAGAAAGCACAGAGATAGGACATGCCCCCTGCATATAAGTCAGCTTCTCAGAAGTTACACGCGTTACTTCCCCTTACACAACATAGGTCAGAAATTGGTCACATGTGTCATGCCCTATGTTAAGAAAAGATTGGGAATATAGCATTTATTCCTGGTGATCATGTGTCCGGCTAAGCATTAGAGGACATTTTTACTGATGGCGAAAGGGTCAGTGGAGATTGCGGTGAACCAGCCATCTCTGTCCAATAGGCACTTTATTTGGTGACGATAATTATAGGAAAGGTAGCACTAGACAGTTTTAATTCATTGAAGTTATTTTGGTTTTTTCTTGTTAATTTGTTTGTTTGCTTATTTGTTTTATCCTTCAGAGAAATGCTAGAAATTTAGTAATTAAATTAAATATTTCATTGAACACAAAAGCATAACATTATGGAAAAGAGTAACTGTTGTTTGGTTTTATTTATATATGTTAGTGTTTATACTGACTAATCTCACCAATGGAGACAGACAATTTCTAAGATTTATTATAGGCATTGTGTTTGGATCTTTCTTTCAGAAAAGTAAAAATCAGCTTAACCCAAAAATTATTTTAATAATAATTGGCATATCCAGCTTCATCCATGTCCCTACAGCGGACATGAACTCATACATTTTTATGTCTGCATAGTATTCCCATGGTGTATATGTGCCACATTTTCTTAATCCAGTCTATCATGGATGGACATTTGGGTTGGTTCCAAGTCTTTGCTATTGTGAATAGTGCCGCAATAAACATATGTGTGCATGTGTCTTTATAGCAGCATGATTTATAATCCTTTGGGTATATATCCAGTAATGGGATGGCTGGGTCAAATGGTATTTCCAGTTCTAGAAGCTGGAAACCATCATTCTGAGCAAACTATCGCAAGGACAGAAAACCAAACACCGCATATCCTCACTCATAGGTGCAAATTGAACAATGAGAACACCTGGACACAGGGTGGGGAACACGACACACCGGAGCCTGTCGTGGGGTGGGAGGAGGGGGCAGGGATAGCATTAGGAGATATGCCTAATGTAAATGACGAGTTAATGGCTGCAGCACACCAACATGGCACATGTATACATATGTAACAAACCTGCACATTGTGCACATGTACCCTAGAACTTAAAGTATAATAAAAATAAATAAATAATAATTGGCATATCCAGAACCCTTTGCTGTCTTCTGCTACATTTGCACAAATTCACAGCTATTTGAATACCAGTCATTGTCAATCCTGGTCAGCTTTGAAAATACTGTTCCTTAGTTTTGCTCTCTGCCTAATTTACTTGGATTGAGGGGAAACCCAGGAATCAGTTGATTTGAGTACGTAGCCAATGTTGTAAAGAACTAATTGCTTTAACTTCTAATAGAAAAATATCACTATTTTTTTTAAAAAGTTACATAATTCATGTGTAGGAACATAATCCTTTTAGCCTAGAAGTAAAAAATGATATAGTCTTGCCCTATAGCACTGATCATGGCCATATATAATTTATAATAACCAAAATAATGACAATATTTTGGTACAGCATGCTCTATTAATTTGAATGCTCACGAGTTAACACATAATTCAATGTGATATGTATTAGGTTATAGAAAACCATGAGGTAAAAATCATAGGCTGCATTGAACTTTCTACTTCCCCAACTTTGCCTCATTATAGGGAGGGATGCAGCCCTAGAGTTCAAGAATTCCATAAAGACCAACCTGAAATTCTGGTGCCTGGCATCTTGTCACACCTTCTTCCAATACACAAACATCAAGGAGTGTAGAAGTTGAACATGGTCTGTTGTCACTGCCTCAAAGAATCCACTTCTAGCTTGTTCACACTAGGGTGTGAACATTTAAAGAGGGTAGGGAAGAACCACCTGGGTGGATTTTCACTGGGGATCTTATAATAAACTCTCAAAATCCCAGATTGAGACAAGGGAAGGGATGCTCAGTCGTATGTAATTAGGAAAAAGAGAGGGATTTTGAACCCACCCCTGCATCATCTAAGTCAAATAGAGCCAGTGTAACTGTTGGGACCGTTGCAGGTAGGGTGTGCTAGGTACCAAGCCGCAGTTAGGTAACCAATGACTTTTACAAGCTTATTTTCATCTCAGTACACCACATGCTTCATGTGCCACGTGCATGTATGTAAGTTACACATCTAAGATTATATTATTGGGTTACACTACCATGAATTATCTAAGGAAAACAGAATGATCATCATTGTGTGTGCAAAGACGACTTCTGAAATTAATACCAACAAGAGATTTCTTCTTTGCATATTTTCAAGCAGAAAGTGGACTAAATTATATCATTGGAGCATGACGTCTCAAAAAATATTTATTGCCAAATAATTCTTTACTGCTAAAAATTATTTATTGCATGAAATAGAAAAGATCTGAGACTGAAACTTCCATTTAAAAACATGATTTAAAAAAATAGAGTAATTACATAACAATTATGAAACTCAGATGCCAGAGTCAGAAATCAAGAAATTAACTATGTCAAGCAATTACAATATGATTACAAAGGCCCTTATATATTCATACAAGCTTTTTGCATTTTTTGAGCTAATTTTATGAAAAACATCAAAAGCCAGAAAACTAATGCTTAATGTATATTTTAAGGCCAAGAACAATATAGAAAAATTAATTTTCTCCTTAAAGTTTTTTAAGATATTTAAAGTAAACATTTTAAAAATTATTTAATCTGTGACCCAATTTGAATCACTTTGCTCTTCAGATTCCGATGTCTCCACAAAAATTCCGATGTCTCCTTGAAATTAGCTGATACATTATAAGAAATGAATGACTGTCCTGTCCTATTTGGGATACACATAAAAGTTACCCCAAAGGTTTAATTAGATAGTGAAGTACAAAAATACAGATTTGTAAAATATTACATATATAAACAATATAAATCTCTATTTTGACAAGTGACTTGATAAACTAGGTTAAATAATTGTTAATAGAGTTGAGTAAAGGCAGTGATGTTGGTAAACTAGTGATCCAAATGAAAAGAAAGTCGGCTGGGCACGGTGGCTCACGCCTGTAATCCCAGCACTTTGGGAGGCCAAGGCGGGTGGATCACAAGGTCAGGAGTTCGAGACCAGCCCGGCCAATATTGTGAAACCCCGTCTCTAATAAAAAATACACAAATTAGCCCAGCGTGGTGGCATGGTGCCTGTAGTCACAGCTACTCAGGAGGCTGAGGCAGGAGAATCGCTTGAACCAGGGAGGTGGAGGTTGCAGCGAGCTGAGACCACACCACTGCACTCCAGACTGGGCAACAGAGTGAGACGCCATCTCAAAAAAAAAAAAAAAAAACCAGAAAAAAAGAAAGTCTTGATACATGGTGTATGCTGCATGTATGTAAGTTACACTCAAAGAGTAAGTCCTCCCACCATAGCTGTTTTCAAGTTATTACCATTTCAAGATACTAACTCCTGTGAATAGGAGGGTGAAGTCTTTAAATTACAGGAAATTGCAATAAAAGCCTGAGGCAAAGATATTTCAAGGGTTTTGGTTAAACAAAAGACACATTGGCTGGCATGAACAAGAGGAATCCACTATTGAAACCATCTTAGTCAATGGCAGGAAGACAGTGTTATGAGTCTACTGGTTACAGAAAATCTTTGTTTTAAAAACTCAGGTTTATCGAATTAAAATTTATATATGCCAAAAGTCATCTTTTTAAGTATGCAGTGTGTTGAAAACATAGATGGTTATATAACAAATACCATCCTCAAGATATAGAACAGTAACATCACCTAGAAAAATTCCCTTTTGTGCCTTTTGAATCAGTATTTCTGCTGCCCTCAGTCTTTGGAAATCGCTGTTCTTTGTCCCTATGGTTTTATATTTTCTAGAATGTCATACACAAGGGAGCAAACAGCATCCTGAATAGGCCTTTAAATCTGGCTTTTAAAATAGCATAATAAATCTGAGACACATTCATGTTGTTATGTTATCAGATTTGTTTCTTTTTCTTCCTAATGTGATATTAAATAGATACAGTATATAACTTTTTGACTATTCACCAGTTTTTGAAATTATGAATCATATGGTTAAAGTCACCAACAGATATACATATGTATATTACATATATGTATAATAATGTATGTATATATAATATATGTATATATACATATATGTATATAGTATACATATAAATCAGTGGATTCTTCAATTTTTTTATTGTCAAAATGATTTTTCCATTATAATTCCTTTGCTTCTCTGTTGAAAGTTTTAGAATGAGCTTGTTTGTTAGTTGCAAATATCCTGTTAGGAATTTTAACTGGATTGAATTTTTGTATTGAATTTTTTGTTTGGTTTGAACAGAATTAATTTATTGTCAATATTGGCTACCAAGCTCTTTACTTATTTACTTCTTCTTTGATTTCTTTTACCAGTGTTTTTTTAGTTTTTGTTACCCTTTCTCCATGTTTTTTTAGATTAAGAATTTAATGTTTCTTGTGCTACTTTAAATGTAACTTTAAAAAATTCTAATTTCCAATTGTTCATTAATAGTGTTGTAAAGTAGCGGGTCCCCCACCAGGGAATTTAAGGGCATATGTTGACTGCTTGAGTCCTGAAGGCTAGATGGTGAGCAAAGTTCATGGTGCTCAGCCGAGGAGCAGATGTCCCTGAAAACCAAAACATCCGGGAGCATATCTAGGTACATACCAAGAAGAACAGTTTCATCACATGTAGTAAGCAAAGAGCCAGAAAAGTAGCTTTGGCCGGGCGCGGTGGCTCATGCCTGTAATCCCAGCACTTTGAGAGGCCAAGGCGGGCGGATCACGAGGTCAGGAAATCAAGACCATCCTGGCTAACGTGGTGAAACCCCGTCTCTACTAAAAATACAAAAGATTAGCCGGGCGTGGTGGAAGGCGCCTATAGTCCCAGCTACTCGGGAGGCTGAGGCAGGAGAATGGCGTGAACCTGGGAGGCGGAGCTTGCAGTGAGCCGAGATCCCGCCACTGCACTGCAGCCTGGGCGACAGAGCGAGACTCCGTCAAAGAAAAGAAAAGAAAAGAAGAAAAGAAAAAAAAGAAAAGAAAAGAAAAGAAAAGAAAAGAAAAGAAAAGAAAAGAAAAGAAAAGAAAAGTAGCTTAAAAGCAGCTTAGAGGAAGATGGTGGGCAGCAGGCGGATCTCTGGAGTTATCCCGCTGCCCTTTACGTAAGTCCTAATAAACTCATCTTCTCATGAAGCTGGACTTGTCTGAGTCCTTCTTTGTTATTTCAGCACTATCTCTTTGGCAGAGGGATGTTCTTCTACACAGGTCTGGGTTTTTCCTGCAACAATTATATATAAAAAATAATTCTGTATATTAACATTATAGTGTTATAGTGCATAGTGTGAAATTACAAAACTCACAATTTATTTCTAGTAGCTTCACTTTTAATAATTTTAATTATTTTGTACTCACAATTTATTTCTAGCAGCTTCACTGCTAATAATTTTAATTATTTTGTACATAATGGAATACTGTGCATAGACCATCCACGAATCAAATAGAGTTTTATTTCTTCGTATCCAATTTGTATGCCTTTTGTTTATTTTTCTTACTTTAGTACACTGGTTAAAATTTCCAGTATACAGTTAAATAGTTCTTGAGGACAGGTTTCCTGTACTTCTTTTCTTCGTGCCTGTGTATAACGTATATTTAACTATATAATACATACAACACAACTATGTTTGTCTTCATATAATTTTTTACCTTTTTTTTAGTTTGTTTACGTAGCCCCTATATCTCTAGAAATGTTTCTTGGATTTACGATTTGATTGCCTTCACTTCTTTTGGAAAATTCTCATTCATTTTGTTTTTAAGTATTTATCATCCTTGTTCTCTTTCATGAATCCGTTCAAGTTAGGCATCCAGAGCTGTCCTTCAGCTCTTGGATGCCATGTTCTGCTATTTATCACTCTTCTTGTTTCTTACTTGTATTTGTTATTCAATTTCTATGTTTTTTATCTTCAACTTTACTGTTCCATTCTTTATTCATATCAAGTCTTCTGATGAATTACTTCATTGGTGTTTGCATTTTGAGGTAGATACAACAGTATATCTATTGAGACATTAATTAGTGCAATTAAACCGAAGTTTAACACATTTTAAGTAAAAATTTATCCCACTATCGCATAAAACTTGTGAAAGTTAAAGTCATCAGCACTTAATATTGTCTGTCATGCGAGGCAATCGGCACTCAAGTGGCAAATGCACTCATTTAACTCTAAATTGGTACTTTAGTTAATCTCTCATATTGATTTTTTAACCCTTAAACACTGGCAAAGAGAAGCATACACCTAAAGAGAGATTTTTTACATTATTGTTTATTTAGTTAGTTTTTAGAAACAAGGTCTCCTCTCTCTCCCAGGCTGGAGGGCTGTGGTGCAATCACAGCTCACTGCAGCCTCAAAATCCTGGGCCCAAGCATACCTCCCACCTCAGCCTCCCAAGTAGCTTGGATTACAAGTGCCTGCCTCAGTACCCGGCTACTTTTAAAACATTTTTTGATACACATAGAGTCTCAGTTTGCTGCTCAGGCTGGTCTCAAACTATTGGTCTCAAGCAATCCTCTTGCCTCAAGCTTCTGAAGTGCTGGGATTACAGGTTAACCAGGACACCTGGCCGAGAGGTTATTTTTTGTTGTTTTAATTTCTTTATTTAATAGTCTGTGTATTTAAATTTTGTTGACAATAATCTTAACAGCAACAATAGTATCTACTTGAAAGGTATGCATTCTATATATAATTCCTTAGATATAAATTTAAGTATAAATATTTGAAAACTCTTTAATTTTTTAATATTGTGTCCCATTTCTTAAAAAAGAGAGAAGCTATATTAACTTTTGAATTCAGTACACAGTTAACAGTTCTTTCATTTAATATGTGATAATATAAATTTAACAGTGAAACTTTCAAATACTCATATTAACTTACCCTGATAGATTTTATAGCTTTAATATAAAACTTCTCATAAATGTAAAATTTGACAAAGCACAATATTCTCCAGGAAGTTAGAAAAGTAGTATAATTTTCTGTCTCTCAGAATGTGTTTTCTAACCTCTAAATATAAATTGATGGACTAATCTTTTAAAATTCAGAATCAAATATAATTGCTTTGGTTTGATCATTGA